>NC_000012.12:44581340-44732855 GCF_000001405.40 Homo sapiens
TGGCAAATAGAAGGCAGAATAAACTAATGAAGGGTTATAACTCAATTCATCACTGAGAAGTTATCTGTTAAAGATCTTATTACAAAACACTCTTCTAAATATCTGGAGTACTTTCCTTATAGTTGCTTAAACACCAACAATCAACCTACAGATTGAAGTAGAAATTCCTTCACAGGAATTCCTGAAAGGAATGAGTTTTAGCTATAAAGTAACTTTTAACACTTAAAAATATTATGTACAAAACCATTAAGTGGCTCATTTTAACTACTTCTCTTTATATAGGTTGGTTAAAAGAAAAAAAAATACATTCTTGAAAAAATTCAGTTTGTTTTGAAAAGTGAAAAGTAGGGTTCCTAAATGCCTTAATGCCATTTTCCCCTTGAGGGATTACAGTAAGTTAATAAAAATCAATTGAAAGCTATTACTGAACTATGATCTTAACTTGAATATAGAGATCTTAAAAATATATTGCAAGTTTTGATTGTGGGCAAAGGAAAAAGAAAGATGAAATTAGGGCCTAAAACATGGTAAATATTGAAAAGAAAAAAGTATCTGATGATTGCTTTAATTTTAAAAATTCAAGTCAACAAAACATTTTAAGCTCACACTAAATAGACACAATAGAATGCCAGGCATTCTTGAGCAGGGATGTGGAAAAGGAATTACAATTGTATTCTTTAACTTTTTCCACATTTTTCAAGGCTAATTACTTCCTTTCATTTAAATCTCAAAGAAGGTAGAGACAAGGCCATCGATAGTAGGAGGAGGGTGGGTAAAGACTGGGAAGGGTGCTTTGACAGAGAAAGCAGTTAAAACTTGATGAGACAGAAATGGGCATGAAGTAGTTATTCTGAAGAGTGGAGTAAGAAAAACATTCTAAGGAATGGTAGCTCTGCTTGCCCTTTTGAGATTTGTGCTCATGAATTTAAAGAGTGACCAGTCAGTGCAGTTGTATGTTTTTCCTCCAGCCACAATCAGCTGCTCAGGAGCAGAATGGAAGCCAAAGATTACATCTGACCCAGGCCTGGGCTTTTGCTGGGCAATATGATATTTGGAGAAAGAGCAAGAAAGTTAGGGTATTCATAAAGGTGTGTTTAGAATGATTAACCAATCAAAGTGGTATTATTGATGAACCTTGAAATCAAGCTGGGTATTAGAAAAGTGCTTAGATAAAATAATATGTTCAACAAAGTTAAACAATTAATGAAGTGAAGATACTATGGCATATGAGATGAAACGTCAGGAAGTGGTGGCCGAAAGGTAGAATGCTTTAAAGTGAAATTTAGGGAGTGATGTAGTTATAGGTGAGGATAAGGTCAAGGTTATGACCACAGGTGTGAGTCACTAAGGTAGAATGAAGGAGGTGAGAAGGTCAAAGAACTGGAAGAACAGAGTATTGTTTGGTGCTATGGTTTGAATGTGTCACTCAAAGTTCATATGTTGGAAACTGAATTTCTAATGCAACAGTGTTGGGAGATAAGGCCCAACAGGAGGTGATTAGGTCATGAGGATCCTGCCCTCATGAATGAATTGATGTCATTTTCTCGGAGTAGGTGTGTTATCCTGAGGGTGTGCTTGTATAAAAGAAAGTTTGGCCCCTTCTTGCTCTTGTGCTCACTTGCCCTTCTAACTTCTGCCATGGGATGAAGCACATAGCACGAAGGCCCTTACCACATGTGGACCCCTTGACCTTGGACTTCCCAGCTTCCGGAACGGTAAGAAATAAATTTCTTTTCACTAAAATTACCCAGTATGTGGTATTCTGTTATAGCCACACAAAACAGACTAAAACATTCGGGTTATCCACTTGCATACTGAATGAGCCAAGGAAGGTACGGTGGAAGAATGTCATTAACCACATGTCAGAATCTTCAATGAATGAAAGTTGACAAGGAGGGTTGGAGGGTATAAGATTCAAAGCTCAAACTCCATTTATTTTAAAAAGGCTTCCCTAACCACTAATGTTCACACTCTGTCACATTAGTCTATTTTATTTTCCGTATAGTACTTGATGCTACAAATTATTTGTTTCCATGGATGTTGCCTGGACACCACACCCCGCCAACACCAGAAAGTAAAACTTATGAGAGCAGAGACCTTTTCAACTAGGTCACTACTATTTCTTGGGGTTTAGATAGTAGTGGGCACATCTTACACACTGATAAATGAATAAACCAATGAATAAATAAAAGAAACTACAAATTAGACATTTACCATATGTCATGAACTGTGTGAATTATTAATAAAAAACAAAGATTTATGACATTATATTTCTTTATGAAATTTTCACTCTATAGAGGAGCTTAATTCTAGAAAAACCAACACTAGGAAACATACGAAATGAACACTAAGTGTTTTAGAAAATGCTTAAAGTGTTTAAAGGTACAAGTGATACAGTTCCCCCATCATGGCTCAAATACACTTCTATATATTTATTTATTTATTTATTTGAGACTGGGTCTGGCTCTATTGCCCAGGCTGGAGTGCAGTGGCACAATCTCAGCTCATTGCAATCTCTGCCTCCCAGGCTCAAGCCATCCTCCCACCTCAGCCTCCCGAACAGCTGGGACTACAGGTGTGCACCACCACACCTGGCTAATTTTTGTATTTTTCATAGAGGTGGGTTTTCTGCCATGTTGCCCAGTCTGGCCTCGAACTCCTGAGCTCAAGCGATCCGCCCACCTTGGCCTCCAGAAGTGCTGGGATTACAGGCGTGAGCAACAGCGCCCAGCCTTAAATATCACTTCTTTAAGAATGCCTTTGTCATCTACACCATAGACTAGGTCAGGCACTCTGCTATATCTTTTCATAGCACCTTCAACTCTTATCATTAAGGTAGTTAAATAATTACATAATTGGTTTTAAACGTCCGCTTACCCTCCTAAGATGCAGAAAGAAGAGGAAGTATCTACCTTTTTTAACACTGTAAACCCAGCAGCTATTCACAGATGACTGGTCAGCCTGGCCTTTCTGTGGGACAAATAGCTAAGTGACAGAGCAGTGTGCAAGAAATGTCACATAACTGATGGAGATTTTTTAAAGATTTGTTGACAAAACAGTCATGCAATTGGAGACCTCTTGTTACGACACTCTTTGTGCCAACAAATCTATCATGGTTTACAACCAGCTCTTTCTGTTTCATAAGAAAAGTAGTGGGTTAAGTGGCATTCCTATATTATATACCTGAGCCTTATTTATGCAGTTGTTCTGTTTGGCAAGGTTAGGGAAAAGAGATTATTTAATTCATGTTTTACTGATTCCATTTCTAGTCCCCAAATATCTCATTCTTAGAATTCATTTATTCATGGTTTCTTTTCTAATTATCTCAGTAGGCAACTTGTTTCCAGGTTTATTTTTCCTCTGCCTTACTGAAAATCCATGTTGCTATAAATTCTGTGGACAACTGCTGTTACTTCAGTTACGAAGCAGTTAGGTGAAGGCAGATGACAGACTGGATCACGTTAACAAGGCAGCCAGAATCCATTAGCTCTCTGGTAAATTTCCCTAACAATATAGACAATGGATATACCTGCCATGGGAGTTAGTCATCACAGTGCTATTGCTTGTGGAGCAAAATGAGTTCCATGATCATCACATTGTACTTTCTAATGACCATTATTATGTCCTCTGATCCAGCTTGATAGGCCTTTGTGACTTTGTCCAAACAGTCTTGAAATCCAGCACAATTTTATTTGCTTTCATTAAATTAATTTTTATTAAAACATACTTGAAAAATTGAAAATATTCCTATCATTCTCATAGACAGTTTGTGGGAATATAACTTGCATACATCCTTTATGAAGGGCTTGGCAGTATCCAATGTTCATACAATTTAACTTTGCAATTTTACTTCTAGGAAATAGTTTTACAGAAACGCTTACACATTTGCACAAAAAATATACATATGAGGATTTGCATTGAAACCATTTGAAATAGTAAAAGATTGAAAACAACTGAAATGTCCACTAATAAAATAAGAGGCTGGGCGCAGTGGCTCACACCTGTAATCCCAGAACTTTGGGAGGCTGAGGGAGGCGGATCATCTGAGGTCAGGAGTTCGAGACCACCCTGGCCAACATGGCGAAACTCCTTCTTTACTAAAAATACAAAAATTATCTGGGTGTGGTGGTGGGGGCCTGTAATCCCAGCTACTCAGGAGGCTGAGGCAGGAAAAAAAATAAAACAAGAGTTAAATATATTATGATATATTTGCATACACAAATAGAACGCTATGTTCTCAAGAACGAGACAGAACTAAATGTATTGATTGAAAGACCTCCATCTTGTAGTAAGTAGTAATAGCAAGTCATAGAACAAATAGGTACAATTTTATTATTTCATTTGCACAGCATATGGGTGTGAATTTTGCATGGGTATATAAAATATACTGAAAGAATCTATAAGCACACATGACAATGTCTGGAGACATTTTTGGTGGTCATAATGGGGGAGGGAGAATGTTACTGGTGTCTGGCGGCTGGGGGCAAGAGATGCTGCTAATCACTCTACAATGCACAGACCCATAACAAAGAATTATTGGGCTCCAGGTAAAAGAAAAAAAAACTGCATTAGAAGTAACCACTATGAACTGTTTGGTGTATAAACTTATAGATTCTTTCAGTATATTTATGTACCCATGCAAAATTCACACCCATATGCTGTTCAAATGAAATAATAAAATTGTACCTATTTGTTCTATGACTTGCTATTTACTACTTACTACAAGATGGAGGTCTTTCAGTCAATACATTTAGTTCTATCTCATTCTTGAGAAGATAGCATTCTGTATGTATATGCAAATATATCACAATTTATTTAATTCTTGTTTTAATGTATATGTATATATAGATATATACATATATTTATATATATAATCATATATATCTAATTGAAAACCACTATTGTAGTGAGTGGGGATAGAAGCAATGAACTTTGCAGTGTGATTATATATATATAGATATATACACACACACATATATATAAAATCATATATATCGTATGTATGTCATACATATGTCATAAATACGTGATTTCTTAAAAATTAAATACATGAGTCTTAAAATTTTCTTTAAAATTCTTAAAAAATTAAAATTTCTTTTATTACTATAACTTTTTTAACAATGAACTATCATTTTCAAGGCCTCTGCTCAGAATAATAGTGTCTATCTACCTATATAATTTTCGAGTTTCTCCCACATTTCTGCTAAGGTATCTAAAATAATTATACGGAATTTACCAAACAACAACTACAATGAGGCACTCTACATTATTAACCTGACCTGATAGTGTCTTAAGCAATTTCCTCTCTTATAAAACAGAGATACTTTTTCTCACAGAGTTGCTATGCCAAGTACAATAATAGATGTATTGCAGTAGTTAGCTTTTTTCCCATTTAGTTCTATAGCATATTAGCGTTTAAATTATTAAGATATAAGGGTTATTTTTTGAAGGAGATTGGAATAGACTCTACAAGGGCAACGATGTTGCCCAATTTTCTTCATCACGTTTCCAATGCCCTGCACAAAGTCAGCACTCAATACACATGTGTGAAATAACTACAAACATAACGACCTCACATGCAATACAAATTAATATCTCTCATCTAACATCAGTAGTTGAGTAAGGTATTGACTTAAATATTTTAAGTATGGGCCGGGAGCAGTGGCTCACGCCTGTAATCCCGGCACTTTGGGAGGCCGAGGCGGGTGGATCATGAGGTCAGGAGATTGAGACCATCCTGGCTAACATGGTGAAACCCCATCTCTACTAAAAATACAAAAAATTAGATGGGCATGGTGGCACACGCCTGTAGTCCCACCTACTCGGGAGGCTGAGGCAGGAGAATGGTGTGAACCCAGGAGACAGAGGTTGCAGTGAGCTGAGATCGCACCACTGAACTCCAGCCTGGGCGACAAAGCAAGACTCCGTCTCAAAAAAAAAAAAAATATATATATATATATATATATATTTTTTTTTAAATATGAAGTTATATACACATTTGTCCCTATTCAGAATGAAATGAGACTAAAAATAACTAACGTGATTATTACTAATTAACAATAACTATCAAGCTTAATCATTTAGATCCATTAGAAATATATTACATTACGAAATTGTTAACACATATTATTTCATATGTATTTTCATAGCTTGGCCAAGGGAATGATTTGTGATGGTGCATCTTTTCTATTAATGTCTAATAATGCTGGGTAGGATTAATACATAGAATCACAGAATCGAAAAGAACTTCTGGAGTCAAATAGTCCAACTATATGTTTCAAGTATGGATAGATAGCCGACTGTATTTTTAAATAATTCCAATTTAGTAAACAGCTACGTTTATTTTAAAACTCCAGGTTTTCTGAAAGCCACCAAGTAGTTAGAAGAAATCTCAGGGAAAAAAGTCTCACTTGGGCCTAGCTTTCCTTAGCTTTTGTGCACCTCATGATAAACCCCCTTGATGGTCACCAATCTATTGCTAAATTAGCAAAATTTTTGGATTGAAAATTACGTTATAAAAGTTGGTTTCGGTTGGGCGCAGTGGCTCACACCTGTAATCCCAGCACTTTGGGAGGCCAAGGCGGGCGGATCACGAGGTCAGGAGATAGAGACCATCCTGGCTAACATGGTGAAACCCCGTCTCTACTAAAAATACAAAAAATTAGCCAGGCGTGGTGGCGGGCACCTGTAGTCCCAGCCACTCGGGAGGCTGAGGCGGGAGAATGGTGTGAACCCGGGAGGTGGAGGTTGCAGGGAGGCGGAGGTTGCAGTGAGCCGAGATCATCGTGCCACTGCACTCCAGCCTGGGTGACAGAGCAAGACTCCGTCTCAAAAAAAAAAAAAAAAGTTGGTTTCAATTTTGAATCATTGTGCTTGATTGCTTGACCTAAATGAAATGGAACATAGCACATCTGGACACATCTTGCAGTGACTGATAAGCACCATGGCTGAGTTTGTCTCATAAAGCCACAGCCTTGTGCCTCCTCTCTGAGGCAGCCTGAGCCATCAGGAACACCCTCCCAAGCCAAGCTTCACGGCCAAGGCTGTGGGGGTCTGTTGAAGGAAACCTCTCTCTCATGATCATGCACTCTAGAGGCCCCTCAGACTGCCAAAATGACGTCCACTGGCTTAGGGGACATTGTGGAGGATAATTTGTCTCAGGGATCTTCCCTTGCATGCCACAGTACGCTGCAGATGGCACTGAAAGTAATCAGTGTGTTAGATCTGAAAGTATGCTTATGTATGTTTCCTGGCATTAGGCAAAATCAAAGGAAAGAGAGTGTGGAACAGGTCTAAACCTGAGTGAGAACCATCATTTATATGCTTTCTTTCTTTTTATTATGGTAAAATGTTCCATATTTTAACCATATTCAAAATTTTCAATTTTAACCATATTTAAGTGTACAATTCAGTGGCATTAACTATATTCACAATGTTTTGTAACCATTATCATTATCTATTTCCAAAATATTTCATCACCCTAAACAGGAACTCTGTATCCATTATGCAATAATTCCCCATTCCCTTCCATCCCTTGCCTTTGGTAACATCTAATCGACTTTCTGTCTATAATTTCATTCAGCTATTTTTAATAATTTTATTTCACATGTATTTAGCACTTAGTATGTGCCAGGCACTGGCTACTAAGTGTTTTGCATGAATTAACTCATTTAATACTCATTACCACCATAAGGGGTACCATTAACTCCTTTTCACAGAGGTAGAAATAGAGATTAAGAAAGATGGAGTTACTTCTCAGTATGGCATAGACTGTAAGTAGCAGAACTTCAACAATGAACTCCAGCAACCTGACTCCAAAGCTCACACTTTTGACTATGATGTTGGCCTGCCTACTGTTGAAAATTCTTTCTGAGTTCTAACTTTGTATTTAAGCTTACACTCATTCCTCTCAGTCAGTCCAGTGGAAAAAAAAAAAACAGAACTGCTAGGCAACAAAATACTCCTTTTATGGCATTAATTTTAAAAGACAGTGATGAAAAAAATTTGCTCCAGGCAATCTTTTCAAGCACAAAGAGACACTACTTTTATTTATTTATTTATTTATTTATTTGAGATGGAGTCTGGCTCTGTCATCCAGGCTGGAGTGATCTCAGTTCACTGCAACCTCCACCTCCCAGGTTCAAATGATTCTCCTGCCTCAGCCTCCCGAGTAGCTGGGACTACAGGCACGTACCACCTCCAGCTAATTTTTGTATTTTTAGTAAAGATGCGGTTTCACCATTTTGGCCAGGATGGTTTCAATCTCTTAACCTCGTGATCCGCCCACCTTGGCCTCCCAAAGTGCTGGGATTACAGGCATGAGAAGAGACACTACTTTTAAGCGATGCTTGCTAAAAGTGCATCCTTTAAGGTTGCTCTTAATTAGTAATCTTGGCTTTGTTTGTAACAAAGGAAAACCAAAATTTATTCACCAACATGCCTGTTCAAGTTCTCCTAACAGAAACTTTGCACAGATCCATTCTCACACTGAATATCACCTACTTTTTCCAACCCACTAAATACCATACAGTTAAGTATCAAATGCATATCACTATTACTTGAATGACTGGTGTCCAATTTCATTTTCACTTTGTTCATATGCCCATTCCATCTGATCCCTGCCTTCCTCTTGTCACATTCCTTTCCCTGAGTCACACTGATACCTACCCAACTCCTAACTTACAGTTTATTTTACTGTATAATCACCCTAATCCAATTTATAGGTACTGATTTATTATTTTTTGCATATATGCCAGCAGGCAAATTTCTCAGAATCAGGTGAGAGTGCAGTCATTAATTATAATGCTTATAGTTGCTTACTTATAGTTTAATTTTATATCATATTATTTTTGCATATATATTTTTATACTTAGTATATATATATTTATCATAGTTGCATTAATAATTATAATGCTTATAATTACTTTCCCTGTCAACTAAGAACACCTGTTTTCTTCTAACAGCTGCTTCCCAGTTGTTAAAGCCAATATCACCCATTAGGAGAGATGACACATTGCATTTTGAAGTCCCTGTGAATGTCACAGGTATATAGTTTTCAAAATGCAGCCCAGGTTCATCCTTAAGAGATCTAGTCCATACAGGTTATATCCTGCTGAAGGTAATAAATGCTTACGTTTTCAACAGATTTTTTAAAGCAGTATACTTATGAATTTTATAATAGTTATTTCGTTTATCTAGATGTAACTGAAATTGTGTTTTTGCCACAAAAACCATTTCATAAAATACTGGATTGGTTCCCACGAAGCAATGTATGAAGTTCCATGAGTTTAAGATAGTGTTATTGTACTTTTGAGATTAATAACAACACAGAAGAAAACATAGGTGAAATGCTTCAGGACATTGGTGTAAGCAAAGATTTTATGGGTAAGACCTCAAAAGCAAAGGCAACAAAAGCAAAAGTAGACAAATGGGATTAGATCAAACCGAAAAGCTTCTGCATAGCAAAGGAAACAATCAAGGGAGTGAAGAGACCACCTGCAGAATGGAAGAAAAATCTTGCAAACTATTTATCCAAGGAATTAATATGCAGAATATACAAAAAAAAAAACCAACCTTGACTCAACAGAAAAAAACCAAATACTCCAAGAAAAATAAAGGGCAAAGGATCTGGATTGACATTTCTCAACAGAGAACATGCAAATGGCCAATAAATACATGAAGAAATGTTCAACATCAATAATCATCAGGGAAATGCAAACCAAAACCATGAGAAGATATCATCTTACCACAGTTAGAATGGCTATTATCAAAAAGAGAAAAAATAACAAATGCTGGCAAGGATGTGAACAAAAAGGAACTCTAATACACTGCCGTTGGGAATATAAATTAGTACAGCCATTATGGAGAACATTATGGAAGTTCCTCAAAGAACTAAAAATAGAATTACCATATGATCCAACAATCCCATGACTGGGTATTTATCTGAAGGAAAGGAAATCAGAATATTGAAGAGATATCTGCACCCCCATGTTTACTGCAGCACTATTCACAATAGCCAAGATACAGAATCAACCTAGGTGCCCAACAACAGATGAACAGATGAAGAAAATGTGGTATATATACATGATGGAATACTACTCAGCCATAAAAAGGAAGAAATTGTGTCACTTACAGCAACATGGATGAGAACATTATATTAAGTGAAATAAGCCAGGTGCAGAAAGAGAAATACCACATGCTGTCACCCATACATGGAACCTAAAAAAGTTTATTTCACAGAAGTGGAGAGTAGAACAGTGGTTACTAGAAGACAGAAAGGAGCGGGGATAGAAAGAGGTTGTTTAAAGGATACAAAATTACAGCTAGATAGGAGGAATAAGTTCTAGCTTTTTATAGCACTGTAGAGTGATTATATTTAATAATAATTTACTGTATATTTTCAAATAGCTAGAAGAAAGAATTTTGAATGTTCCCAACACAAAGAAATGATAACTGTTTGAGGTGATGGATATGCTAATTACCTGATTTCATCATTAGACATTGTATACATGTATCGAAATATGACTTTGTATTTCATAAATATGTACTACTATTATGTGCCACTTAAAATTTTAAAAATTAAAGATTAATAACAATACAAGGTAATTTGAAGAAAGAGGATAAAATTGATACAAACATGGGAGTTGAGAGCAAGGCAAGGATACTTCTTGTTAGACAAACCAAGGAGAGTTTTTCGGAAGAGTGGTATCTGGATGGCAAAATGGGGAAGGGGTAAAAGCACACATCTGTGGCTAAGTTTAACTATTCAAATCAAGAGTCTACCAAATGCTAGCTGTGTGACCTTGGATACATGATTTAACCTCCCTAAGCATTGGTTTTAAAATGATCAGAAAAAATTATACCTGCCTCATAAAGTTGCTATTATGATTTAAATGATTTAATAAATGTAAAGCAATTAGCACAATGTTTGGCATGTGGTAAGTTTTCAGTAATGACCAGCTGATATCTCAGAAAATTTAGAAAGGCAGGTCAAAATAATAAATGCATAAATAGGACAGTGGTATATGTCATAATAAAGGAAAAGGTCTTGATTTAGGAAAATATCTTGATTACTTCTTTGGGTAGAGAAAGTGATGCTTTGTTTCCCTCTTCCCAGAGCATGGTGGAGAGGAAAAAGATTAGATAGTTAGGTAGATAGACAGACACAGAACAAGAGGGAGATAGAGAGAGAGAGGAAATGTAAAGATGTGAAATTGAGAGCCACAAGGGAGGATAAAAAGAGAAACAGTCCAGGGAAAATGGAGGGCTGTAAGGTGAGAAATACCTACCTGGTAAGAAAGAACTTTGTGCAGGGGTCAGTCTCTGGGGACAGAAGCCTATTTATTTTGAGGGCCCCTCAGGAAAAAAATATTACCAAGATATGTGCTATTGCAGATTTTACAAAAATATATGGCCAAGTGAGCACATTGCTAGGGCTCTTTCCAAGGGCTGGAAAGAAGCCTGGTTGCATTAAGAGAGCAGAAACTTAAACTTCATTAGCTTAATGGAAAATCTGCCTCTCATTTTGTGAGAAGAAATAGCCAAAGCATTTTTAGAAAAATGGGATCTCTATTTCATTTTGTCTTTTTGACATTTGTTTTGTTCCTCTTTGGTCCTCCTCCATTTGCCTCAAAATTTGGAACACTCTGCTACAAACTGTTTGTATGGGTGTTGCTTTGAGGGGAATGAAGGAAATGAAGGGAGATGAGTCTGTCAGGCATAGGTGATTCCAGTATAAAAAAGAAAAGCATTCATGATCTATATAACCCAAGGAAAGCAAGTCACTGCATAGTGCTAAATGTCCAAGTGAAAATACAATATAGCCCCTTGGGAGTGGGAGTTAAGCTTAGGAGAGGTGTCGAGATAGAATAACTCTTTTTGAAGAATTGAAAGTGACTGAGATCCAGAAAGGAGATGGTAATAAGAAAGAAAAGAGATGATTACATGTATAATCTTGTAAAACTTCCACATTTAGGAGATAAGCAGCAACAGAAGAAAATAATGCAAAAAAAGGCAGTCAGGCAGGAGGGAGAGGAGTAACAGTAAAAGCTCATGGGTGTGAGAACTGCCATTTTGGAGCTATATTGCAGTGTTTTATTAGGGACTTTACATTTACATGGTACTGTGTGTAACTTCAGGCTTGTCAATTTAATAGCTATGTCACCTTTGGCAATTTACTTACTCTATCTTTTCTTTAAAAAAGTGGGTGAAATAAACATACGTGTACATGTGTCTTTATAGTAGAATGATTTATAATCCTTTGGGTATATACCCAGTAACGGGATTGCTGGGTCAAATGGTATTTCTGGTTCTAGATCCTTGAGGAATGGCCACACTGTCTTCCACAATGGTTGAACTAATTTACACTCCCATCAACAGTGTAAAAGCGTTCCTATTTCTCCACACACTCTCCTGCATCTGTTGTTTCCCATAGCCTTGTAGTACAGTTTGAAGTCAGGTAGCATGGTGTCTCCAGCTTTGTTCTTTTTGCTTAGGATTGTCTTGGCTATACGGGCTCAATAGCAAAGTCTTGGAACCAACCCAAATGCCCATCAATGATAGACTGGATAAAGAAAATGTGGCACATATACACCATGGAATACTGTGAATCCATTAAAAAGGATGAGTTCATGTCCTTTGCAGGGACATGGATGAAGCTGGAAACCATCATTCTCAGCAAACTAACACAGGAACAGAAAACCAAACACTACATGTTCTCACTCATTTATGTGGCGGGGGGGAGTCGAACAATAAGAATGCATGGACACAGGGAGGGGAACATCACACACCGGGGCCTGTTGGGGGTGGCGGGATAGGAGAGGGGTAGCATTAGGAGAAATACCTAATGCAGATGACGGGTTGATGGGTGCAGCAAACCACCATGGCATGTGCATACCTATGTAACAAACCTGCACCTTCTGTACATGTATCCAAGAACTTTAAGTATAATTTTAAAAATATATTATATATATATATGTACACAAGAAATACTGATTACAAATGTAGAATAAAAAAGTGAGTGAAAACACCTATGTGAGCAAAATACCTACCACATAAAATTGTTGCAATACTTTAGTCTGGAGAAAATATCATGTCAAGAAAACCAGAGAAAAAGGGGGTTGCCATAAAACTTTTGATTCCTAATATTGAATGCTGCAGAAAGGTCAAGAAATGTGAACATTATGGAGATAGTGATTAAGAAGTTATATCGGATTTCCAAGAGAGTCATTCCAGTGGAAGGGTGAAGTCTAAATTAAATGACTATAACAAGTATAGAATACTGCTTATAGACAAATTTCTCCCTCCTATTTGCCTGTCAAGAATATAAAGTCCTTGAAGATAAAGATCTGGTCTCAGAAAATATAGTGTAAATATTTATTAATAAATCTAACAAATCTCCCCATTCTGCTTCTACATTATCTAAAATTAGTTTATTTATTCTAATCTAATGTATTTTAGACACTTACTAAATATTGCACTTATACTTACATACCTTACAGTTAGTGTAAGGTACAAAGTTACCAGTGTAAAAGAGATTCAGTACCTTCTGGTTTGTAATTAAGTTTTATGATTTATACACAGAGTCCCCCTTCTCATCATTCACTGAGTAAAAGTTTTGGCATCCTGTAATGTGTAACTTACTCTTGATTCTTGCCCACTCAGTAATGTTTAGAGGTATCTGTGTTTTAATTAATTTATTTTTGTTGTAAATGGCCGAAACCAAAAAGATCATAATGAATAATAAATTGTCATGCTTACACAATCTGTTAGATTGATGGATTTTCAAGCAAAAAGAAACACAAGCAACTGTAGTCAACTAATTTTCTTTTCCTCGAATTAAACATTTTTAAAGAAAATGATAACAACTAGTAAATATGCTTGGCTTCATATTAAAAGGACAAAGTCAAGGTTTATTTTAAGGCTGGAGTTGTCCCTTTTAAAATATGAAGAAAAAACATCCGTGAGTGAAAAAGTAATTTATATTTTAAAAGCTGCTAAGGCAAATGAAAACACACCTCATTTAAGAAGGAGAAGAAGAAGTTATATATCTTAAAAAGCTAAGAATATAAGAGTTACTTTAACTTGTTTTTTGTTTGTTTGTTTTGAGATGGAGTCTCGCTCTGTCGCCCAGGCTGGAGTGCAGTGGTGCGAACTCGGCTCACTGCAAGCTCCGCCTCCCGGCTTCATGCCATTCTCCTGCCTCAGCCTCCTGAGTAGCTGGGACTACAGGCGCCTGCCACCACACCCAGCTAATTTTTTTTTTTTTTTTTTTTTGTATTTTTAGTAGAGATGAGGTTTCACCATGTTAGCCAGGATGGTCTCGATCTCCTGACCTCATGATCTGCCCGCCTCGGCCTCCCAAAGTGCTGGGATTACAGGCATGAGCCACCACGCCTGGCCCCTTTAACTTGTTTTTTAAGGCTTTTGATTAACCTAAAGGTTCAAGTTCACTCTTATTCAGCCTTCTAATTATCTTATGACATGAATATTGAGAAAATCGGCAATGGAAACTTTGTCTAACACTTGAAAGTATATTTTCACACATTTAATCAGCTGTTTGCTTGCCTCCTAAGGTTCCCACCAGTAGAAGTTTATCATAAAGCCTTCCCCTGTAAATTACAACTATTGGGATTATAGCTCTAGAATTCATTCTTCTTAAGAGCAATTTCTTCTGGGGTTACCATACCTGACAAGATTTGTAGTTAGCAGTCACTTAAAAGGTATTAGTATTATTTTTGTACCCATCTGTTTCTCTGTCATTGAGATAAAATGCTCTCTGTGCATTTTGACAGTCAGAGGTATTAAGCCCCAAGAGAAAAGAACTGCATTTTACTTTCTGCATCTTCATACACATCATGTTGTGCTGTTCACACACAAGAACTTAAGAAATCTTTAATGTGGATAATTTGGCACCCATATTCCACAAAGTTTACTGCTATTTCAGTCATTTTAGCATCCTATGGTGCAGTGGGAGGCCAAATATCAGAACAGAAAGAGCGTGGAAAATTTTAATATGACAGTCCTAGAAATTATTCTTTTCTATTCCATTTTACTGGCTGTACAGACCAGAGCAAATTACTTAATCTTTTTCAACCTCACTTTCCTCATCTAGTAATAATAACCACTTCAGAGGGTTATTGTAGGGATTGCAGTAAGGTCATGATAATAGCTAACATTTACTGAGCCATTGCTTGGTTTACCATATTAACTAATATAATTCTCTCAACAATGTCATGAAACAGGTTTTTTTTTCTTCTTTAAACTACTATTATTTTTTGGAGAAAGGGACTTGCTATGTTGCCCAGGCTGGTCTTGAACTCCTGGCCTCAAGTGATCCTCCACCATCTGCCTCAAAGTGATTACAGGCATAAGCCACATCACATCCTGCCTAAAATAGGTATTATTATCACTCCATTTTAAAACAAGGAAATTGAGGCACATAAATATTAAGTAATTTGCCCTATTCCACATAGAGAAGTCATTTGCAGAGCCTAGATTTATAGCCAGAGAGCCATCCTCCAAGCCTACTTGTAACTCTTAACCATCATGCTGCACTGCTTGTTTATTATTACACTAAATGCCCTTAGACATGGAGTTTGAAGCAGCTACTGTTCCAAACAACTATAGCAAGAAGAATTTTAGATAATCCCAATAAGTCAATGCCATCTTGTCCCAGAGTGTGGAAATCTTAAGTGTCCTTAGCATTTCGTTATCTAGACTCTGATTGAACATGCAGGGTGATCTATCCCTTTTTCCTATGGTTCTTGTGATTAGTAAATTTCTTATTTGGAGTCCAAACCTGCCTCCTGGTAAATTTACTAGTTTTCCTCTCTGGAGCAACAAAGATTAATCTAATCCCAAATCCACACACTAGTTTAGCTCTTCATGTATTTAAGGATAGCTTTTTACAGCACCTTTCATTTTTCTTATTTTTTAAAAAAATATTCCTGATGAAGATTTATTCAACTACCCTCTTATATCTGCCAGGACTTTCATCTCCTGGAAAACTTTTCCTCAATTATGCTTCCATTTGCTGATAGCCTCTTAAAACTATTGGCCCAAAGTAAATACAGTATGCCATTATAAAATAAGTAACGTAGAATTTAAGGAGAGTTTTGTTTCATAGACCCTGTTTCTTTTAATTATAGGTTAAGTTTGCATTTTCTTTTAAAGCTAGCACATTATACTTTTGGCTCATACTTAACTTCGAATCAGTAGCCAAATAAAGCATAAAAACTGTTAAACTTAGTTCCCTCTATGTTGCACAGTTGGTTTTTCTAACCTAAATGCAAGAGTGTATTTATACTTTATTAATATTCATGGACTGCCTACTATATGCAAAGCATGATGACAAGCCCTATGAAAAACACAAAATCATAGGTTCCATCTCTACTTTCCATGGAACTCATACTCCAGTGGGAGGGAATGAGGAAAAAGGTAAGGGAGGAAAGACAGACACCTAAAGAAAAGAAAACTAAAGGAAAGGGGCAAAGAACACAATGAGTGTGGGCCAAAGATGGAAGAGATCAGAATTAAGGATCTAGAAATGTTGAGGGCTGAAAGCAGGACAAATGCAGGAGATGCTTTTGTTTGTCAAGTGTCATAATGTTATTTGATCCCATTGTTCCTACAATTTGAATAGCTCTGAATCTTGATCCTGTCTTTTGTCATATAAGCTACCCTCTCAAAACTGTCATTCACAAATTTGATTGTTCTTCTTTAACTTGGCCCAAAATCCATTATTTGCTATTTAACTTGATCCTTGTGCACCACATTTTACTGTAAGTCTAAAAAAATTAACCTGGAATATAATTTATTCTCTCAAAAAAAAAAAAAAAAAAAACAGTAAGTTTTTAAGGGAGAGTTATCTATTAGATGGATAGGGCTGACTGCTGTAAGGTTTTTTTTTTGTACCTAAGTCCTAGTGGCTTCTTCCAGAAAGTTTCCATGACAGAAAGCAATAGACACTGACCATAGATGAGAACCCTTTGGGAAGAAGTACAGACTCTGGGAGCATTAGAAATTTAGGAACGGAAAAAAACAGCCTCATCCCCCAGCTCCATTCCTAGTAAACCTCATAAACTTCATATCATTATTGTTTTTTCCTATGTTCCTCCTCATTTACATTCTCTCATCATAAGTTTCACCTCACAGTCTGCAGATTTCTGAATGGCCAAAGTTCATCACTCTTAGGAGTCATTCACTGAGCATCAGTGAAATCATACTTATGTTTAAAACAGGTGATTTTCTTTCTTATTCCAGCAATACTGAGACCTGCATAACCTGAAAATCTTTCTACATACACATGGCTTAAAAATATAATATTAAACTTATAACTGACCTCATTGAAAAAATGAAAATTCCTATGTGGCATAAGAAGCCAAACACCAGATATGGATTTATGGGCCAAGTGATTGACAACAGAGTGAACCTGGTCTTATAGGAGGCTCAAGACTCCAGCATAGGCAGAATCCTTGGAAGGCCTGCCCCTCAGTTTAAGAGTAAGAAAGAAATACACACACACACACACACACACACACACACTCTCTCTCTCTCTCTCTCTCTCTCTCACGCACTCACAGATAAAAAAAATCCACCAGCACAGGCGATTAGGAGGAGACATTATTTCTACCTATGCTTGAGTGGGGAGAAAAAGAAATGTTAGCTCTTACAGAATTTTGAAGTTAAAAATTTATATAATTTGTGTGGCATACCACTTGGCAAAAACATTAATGCAAATTATGCATTGTAATACCCCTGCTACACCTGCGGAAACAAATGTAAATTTTCCCTGGAGGGAAAAGATCTCAGACTTCACAGGTAAAGCTTCAATGAAGATAATAAGGTCAGACACCAAAAGTCCAAAACATATGAGGAAACAATCATGAGGCAAAAGTCAGCAAACACAATAAAAGATAATTTAGATCCCCTCGAACTTCAGGCAATAGAGCAATGCTGTAAATTTTATAATATAATATGAGTACGTTTAAAATTGTGAAAGACATAAAAGAAGGAATCAAAACCACAAGACAAAAATAAGAACTAAGGAAAAAAGAACCAAAAGATATGAGAAAGAGAACTCCTAGAAATTAAAAAGTTATTAAAATTTAAAAACTAACATAAACTAAATAATGGATCAGACAAAGCTGATGAATTCATCTGTACACTGGTGGATAGGTTTGAAAAATTATCAAAGGCACAACACTGAGAGATAAAGAGATGAAAAGTATAAAAGAAAGTGAAGAATTATAGAAAAGACAAGGGCCAACATATTTCCAGAAGGAGAGAATAAAGAGAAGGGGAAAGAAGCAATATCCGAAGGGATAAATATTGAGTGGATTCCAAAACGATGAAAGCGGTTAACTCTTCAGATTCAGTCGTCTAAAGGAGTCCCTAGCAAGGTAAATAAAAATATTAATAAATTCATACGCAGGCACAATGCTTTGAAACCACATACTCCAAAGAAAAGGGAACCTTGAAAGTAATTAGAGAGAAAGAGACTATGTTTTAAAATGAATTACAATTGAATTGAAAGCAGACTTCTGAACAGAAACCTCAGAGGCCCCCCAAAAACAATGGAATACTGCCTTCATAGTGCGTAGGGAAAACCTAGAATTCCGTTTTTTTTTTTTTTTTTTTGAGATGGAGTCTCGCTCTGCCGCCCAGGCTGGAGTGCAGTGGCGCGATATCTGCTCACTGCAAGCCCCGCCTCCCCAGTTCACGCCATTCTCCTGCCTCAGCCTCCCGAGTAGCTGGGACTGCAGGCGCCCGCCAGCACGCCCGGCTAATTTATTTATTTATTTATTTATTTATTTATTTATTTATTTATTTATTTATTTATTGTATTTTTAGTAGAAATGGGGCTTCACCGTGTTAGTCAGGATGGTCTGGATCTCCGGACCTCGTGATCCGCCCGCCTCGTCCTCCGAAAGTGCTGGGATCACAGGTGTGAACCACCGCGCCCGGCCGGAAAACCTAGAATTCTATACCCAAGAGTTGGCCACTAATAGAACTGCTCTAAGAGAGTACTAAAATATATCCTTCAAGAAGAAAGAAATGAAACAAATAAGGGAGGAATAGAATGCAAAAAACAAAAACAATTTCAGTATAAATAAAATGTTGCATTCAACAACGTTTCTCCAGCATATTAAGTTTATGCCTCCCCCGATTATACTTCTGATCAATAGACGTTCATCAGCTTATCTATATAAAAAAATCAGAATTTATGAATGAGAAAATTGCAGAACATTCTCAGCCAACACATGGGGGCACCCCCCAAAAAGAGAAAGATCTTGGCCCTAAGACATGTATTCCTATTGACACCCAGACTTTTACAAATTAAAAGTCTACTATTTGAATGGCAGAAAGCCTCAGCTTTCCTATTTGAACTACTCTGTCTAACAAGGACTTATCTATGGTATGATTTCCAGGATATTTTGTTAAGGGAAAAAGCAATGGTTGGGAAATGGCTATAAAGGAAATTTACTTTTCATTATATGCTCTTTGTACTTTTAAATTTTATACAATATGTACATAATGTTTATTCAAAATATTAATATTCAATTAATTTTAAAACAAATTTAAACAATTATCTTAAAAGTGACTCCATTTGGCTAGTTTCAAATAAAAAAATAAGAGGGAATAGGGATCCTGCGAATTCAAAGGCACAATACAAGTTAATATACAAAAATGATCTATTGAAAAAAATAATATTTTTAAAATAAAACTGAAGATCTTATCCAAATTCCCAACTAATTCCACTTGGCTTTTTTCTTTTTCTTGGAGACCTGCTCTCTAACAGCTTGAAAGCTATTTTTTTCCTCTTACATTTTCTCCATGATGTGTCCTCATTTCCAGTGTTAATTAGGTAGGCCTTACAACAAAAGAGTCTGAAAAATTTCCCCATCATAGTTGTTATCTATTATACACGACTGATATATAGAGTGAGTTAGATTTTTTCCAATTAACCTGAAGGACTTGGAAGAATGACTTTGAGATTTAACACTAAGAACTTTTGACTACTTTTTGAATAATATAAAGATTTATATTTTCATAAAAGATTAATTTTTAAAGTTTGCATTAGGACAAAAATAAAGCAATTTTAAGCAAATGTACAGAATGCAAATCACTAAATTAAACATTTTAAACCACTATAGTACAGTAAAATTATACTTAAAACTGGTTTATGAATGGATCAAGAAAACTAGAATCCTTTATTGCTCTTAACCTTTCTCTTATAACATCTCAGGGCATCTCCAGCTAACTCAAGGATGTCAAAGAGTCTCAAACAGTTCTGTCTATAAAAGTTTATTTACAGTTCAACTTAAAATTTACAAAATCATCATATCAGGTGTCATTTACTGAGTGCTTACCAAGTCTTCAACATGGTGCTATGTGCCTTACTTCATTTAATCTCTAGAACAAACCCATGAGATAGATATTACTATCATCTTTATTTTCTACATGCACAAATTAAGGCATAGTGAAAAAAAGGAAATAACATGAAAAGGGTCACATAGCTGGCTGGTAATAGAACTAGTTCTCAGGCCAATGTTTCTCTGACTTCAACTTTTGTGTTCTTGACCACTATGTTAAATTCTTCAAGGAGAACTGGGGTTTGGCATAACATTAAGCAATTAAAATCTTATTTAAAACAGATTAAGGATCACCAACATAAAGAGAAGTTACGTCTTAATTATCTAAGCCAATTCAAGCAGGGTACGGTCAAAAAGCCTTTGGTGAGAGTGCTTTTTGTTTGTTGTTTTATTTGTTCATTTTATAACAGAAAAAGAATCATTGGTATCTACACCCCTAATTCACACAAAGTTCATTAAAACACATTCATTTATCAAACATAATTGAATCACTTTTATCACTGGAGACAGTTTCAAGATCAGATGTGTCTAGTGAGTGAGCATGAGTGTAGATCCCTTAGGCAGATCAACAGAACCCTCCATGAGTATGTGCCCACTCTGCAAAATCTACCCAAGAGCTACTTTGCAGATCTTCCCTTGTAAAATTAAGATTCAGAAAACTGAATTTAATAGGATAGTAAAGAACTAGAAGCAAAGCTTCCTTAATTCCAAATTGTCTTTATTACAGTAAAGTATATTTAATGATTTGTGTACATGAAATTTGCATTTGTTCAGATAAAGCAGAATAAATTCAAAATAAAACTAAAAAATTCTTATTGGAAAAGCAGATGTATCTACAGTTTTTCTTTTTAATTTCTTTTTATCAAATTGTCTCAGATTTTCTTCTCAATTTCTCCTCTTTTCTCACATAAAGATATATATTTTGGTAATGTATTTCCACTGTGAGTCATATTGGTAAGAAAAGGTATGCCATGTCCCAACTGTTCTGAGAATTTTCCCTTGCTTCTGAATTTTTTTAGACTTCGTATGTAAAAATGATATACACTTATACATATTTCTGGAAAAAATATGCCTTAAAAAAACAAATATTAATGAAATCAACATATACCTTTTATGATGAAAAATGTGCTAATTTGGCCATGCCAGGAAATGTAATAGTTTGACATTAATAATAAATGCTAACTTTGGATATAACTAGCAAGATAACTTTTTTCTAACAAAAATAATTTCTATTATCCATACTATAACAGTAATAAAATAAACTTAAAAAAAATCAACCAACCTCAATCCATTTGAAGTTACTTTTGAAGTAAAGCAACACTCATGTAGGCCTCATGCTTCATTTTTGTCATTTTGAAACAACACATATTAAAAAGCTACAAAAACACTTAGGGGTGCAACTTAAATTTATATTCATTTAACAACTCACAAAAATAATTAAAATCTCATCTTATGCTTTGATATGTGGCTAAGAAATCCATTATTTGCACAGAAAAAAAAAGCATTTATCATCAAAATGTCTGATCTCTTCTTTGATACTGCAGCAATTTTTTTTCAGCTTTGCCATTTGTTACCAACTTTTTCCCAGTTATAAATATTTTAATTTGATTTAAGTCAGCAAGTGCTTGTAGGGGACTGTCAAATCTTTTAGAGTTATGCTTTAAATCATTACTGAAAGATTTGCTTTTAGTATAATAAGATAGCTTTGTATATTAATTAGATCATCAGACACATATTTGCTGAGGTTTAGCAATTGTGTAATAAATACAATATGGCAGTGATAAAGCTGTAAACCTTGGCACATAGCTTCAGCTTTCTAATACATTTTATTGAATTACCCAAGAAATAATCACCCTGCTAAATCCAAGTTAAACACCTGATGGAATCTTAGGATATTTAATTAAAAATGAAGTTATGCTGTACATGCGGGTGATTTTATACAGTGGCTAAAAAAGAAGTCCATAAAAAATTAATTTCGCTCAGTAAAAATCATACACATCGCCCTTTTGTGAAGTGGTAAATGAATGCAACCATTCCTACTAAGATACACATGATGCAGAAACAGAAATGAGGGGAGGGTGTTTCAGAAGAGACTTCAACTAAAGGAACAAGGGGTGGTAAGTGCAAGACACATTAAGATTTCAAAAAGCAAGTAAATCCTATTATTTCATCCTCAGTGATTCCACTGTGATGGCTCAGCAGATGGCCACTGGGGCTGCACAATAATTTCCTTTCTAAGCTATCAGGCAGCATCCAACTCCAGCAGGCCAAATTTAGGCCATTCCTATACTTGGAAATTTTGTCAATCTGGAAGCATCCTTTAACTTTGCAGAGAAAAACTGCCACAGTCTTCACTGTTAAAGACAACAGGTTGAAGGGGGCATAACAAAAGGCAGAGACCTGATGAAGGATGATGGTGTGATGAATTCCTGGGACGAAGCATGGCATAAGAAATAAAGGAAAGCAGGAAGAAAAGAAGAAAGAGAAGGAGGGAGGAAGGCAGGACAGGAAAGAGAGAGAGAGGAAGAAAGGGAGGGAAGCAAGGAAAGAGGAAGGAGTGAGAGAAAGGGGAAGGAAGGAAAAGAGAAACACTGGGCTAGAAATCAGAAGACCCAAGTTCTAGAATGTAGATCTGGATCAACAATGAAACACCTATATAAGCTACTTCACGTTTCTGTGCCATATCTGCCATATGATAGTACAGAACTAGATAACTCTGAAAGCTTCAACTAATATTCAGAAAAGTCCAACAAATATGGACACAGCCACACCATCTTTTTCTTCATCATTTAATTGATCACTCATGTGTGCATTTATTTATTCACCAAATATTTATGGAACAACTACTAAGAGGCAGGCCTTGTACTGTTTCGTGATGATACAAAAGCAAATAAGATACATCCTGTACCCTCATGAGATTCACTGCCTGGGGGTGGGAATGAAGTGAGATGGCAGAAGGACAAGAGGGTAAAGCTGGGTAGATATGCAGGGCCAAATCCTGAAGGGCCTTATTTATCATGTTAAAAATGTGGCCTTTATCCTGAGGGCAATGGGGAACATGAAAGTTTTTCTTCAGTCTGGAGTGATATGATCAGATTTGTGCTCTGTTATTCTGTGGATACTGGACTAGCCAGAGACAAACCTGAAAGTCCCCAACAACTGTAGCACTGACCAGAATAGAAAAAATGGACCCTGGTAAAGACAAGGAATCAAAAGGATTTGACTGGATGTGAAAGAGGACAAGAGGGAAATTGCTCCCTGATGACTGGCTTAGAAGACTTGGTGGATAAGGTGGCTATTCGCTGAAATAAACTAGTAAGGAAGGAAGAAAAGAATATTCAGGTTTTGGTAGAGGATGGTAACTGGTGAGGCATGAATCATGGAGGAGATAATGAATTCAGATTGAGGTCTTTGGATTTAAGGCCCCCCAAAGAAACATACTGGGATGCACTGGATAAAAGCCTGGATTTGGGAGCAGAATGACCTTTGTATCAGCTTCTAACTCTGATGCTAGGAAAAAGGAAAACATTAAACACCCTGAACCCAGTATTTCTGTATGCAAATACAGATAATAACTGCCTTAGAAGAGAATGGCGAAGAGTAAGGTGATGTATAAAGGGTACAACACAGAGGGAAGTTAAGTAACTTGCCCAAGGCAACATAACATATAAACAGTACAACTAAATTTTGAGTCCACATCTGTTCTCAAAGCCCTTGGCTGCCACAGACAGCTATTTAGAATCAGTCTGGGATTGTCTTCTTACAGACTGAAGGTTCAAGTATAATGAAATAGAGATAGCTACATGTTCTCTTGGGTTATTTTTAACTCCAGTCTTAAATATTACATTGCCAGTATTAATTTTATGCCATTCCAGATTTCTACAATCTTGTGATATTTTCTCCTAGTGGAAGAATCCTGTGCAGGATTGTGCACGGCCACTGTTCATCCCAGATTTTCTGGGACAGCTTTTATTTCAAAATTCCACACCATTATCTTCACACCATTGAAATGTCCTGAAAAAGCCAGTATTTCTGTATCCAGCCTCTGTACCAGAAGCGGCACACAAATATTGTATTCAGGAAGCCTTGTGATCAGAGGTGTTGATGTGCAGGAGGTCCACAGTGCACCTTGATGTGTAGGGGCAAACTGGTGGAGAGCATGCCATAGAAACATGAGAGGACTACTGCAGTAGAGGTGCCTGATTTGATTTAGTATATCATATGATAGTTACTAAAAACCTGTATTTCTAACAAGTTATCAATCTCTATAGGTGACTCTCATGCACAATAAATTTAGGGAGCTTCTGATTTAGGAAATGATCCCCTTAAGAAAGAATCCTACATACCAAAGATAGACACTATGCATTGTCCGTCACAGACTTTTGAAATCAGTCACTGAAGTTTGAAAAACACCACTTAGCAGTACTTATAGAAAGAGATGATCTAGTGATGTAAGCCCTTTTGTGAGCATCCTTCTGTGCACAGTAGCAGATTCTATTCAGTAAAATGTTCACTTCCCAAATGGAGCAGAACATTTTCTGTCTCACATTCTGGTAAATCAGTGTTTTTATTAAACTAGATGACTCTGCAAGTGGAATAGAGGCAGAGCATGTACTGTATCTATTGCATTGAGATTTATGAAAAGCAGTATGAGATGACAACTGTCAATTGCCAGTGGCAGAAGCTTTCTTTTAGGAAGAATAACCTGATTTTCTGAGGTCATCACTATTGGAACCTACTGAACCCAATGCAACCAAAACCACTACTAGTATGATTTTAATTAGGACTTAATACTCAAAACATTTTTTTAAATTCCCAAGATGTGTTTTTCATTGGACAACGTATTTTACTTTAGGGTTATAAGTTATATGTAGACTATATATTGTTTTTAAAATAATTTTTAAAGTTTTTAATATTCACGTCCATCAGAAAGAGTAAGTTCAGAATGGATCTGAATGAGAAATAATTGAGGAGTAGAAAACTTTAATTATTTTCCAGATAAATAATTATTAATGAATAATTAAAGGGCCAGATAAAAATTTATTAAAAATTCCTAATTGTGGATGCAGGTGATAGTGTGTTCTCGGCACTGAGTTGGCCATAAGCTTGAAATCTAGGCTTTAATATAGTCATATAGATTCCAGTAAAAATGGATTCCAAATGAGTAAAATGAATTATGAAGTCATAAAATCCTGGGTAATTCCACACATGTTTCTGAAAAGTTCAATATGCGTCTAGTTATAATAGCTGCAAAACCTTTTTAGAGTGACTTTGGGGAATCGCCCAGCGAAATGCATCACTGAAACTTCCCACCTCCTCCCTCCTATCACTTCCTTATTAATAGCTCCATGCTTTGAGAGCCCACTTGAAACTTGAAACATTATTTTCCTCATGGATTACTTTATGCATTGGCATAAAAATTCATTTTCTAGAAGATGAAATGATATTCTTACCCGTTTCACAGCTGGGTCCAGTGAAGCCTTGTGGGCAGGCACACACATTAGCGGCAATACAGGCTCCTCCATTCCTACAGCCATCTTTGCAAAATGCTAAAATAATTCAGATACATGATTTTAGCACTTTAGAAGTAAGTAGTTTAATAAACTCCAAACCTAGCTTTTCATTATCCCCTTGGAGATGTAAACATCAAATTATAAAAGCTATTTTAATTTTGTTTTCATGTAATATTTCCCATACATTTAAGAAACTTCAACACAACTTGTAAAACAGTACTCTTTCCAATGTTAAAGAAGTATTTCACCCTTAAAACAAAATACTGAAATTTATTTGAACAACAAACAGCAAATTTACACAATAGGAAGTACATTAAAATTCAGATTTCTTCTCATTGTAACAATCCACCTTGAAAATAAACCTGAAAATGGCAGCTATCCTAGATGGAGCAAACCACCATCTAAAGAACGAGACCATGAAACAGGAAATGGTTGAATCCCATGAGGCTCTGACCATTTTGCACACTAGCCAAAGTGCCAAAATAGTAGGAAATGTTCCATCCTTCAAAAATTTGTAAGCGGGTCCTGGTAATGAATTAACCAATAGTAAGAAAAATTCATTAGAGTGGTCTTCAGGGAGACTCTTAAATTCCTCTGCTAAGGATAGGTCAGAATCCAGGATCAAGGGCCAAGACACTATATAACCTGTTTTATCAGAGTGGTTTTGGGAATGAGGCAAGTTGTTCTGTGAGTAGGAAGCTGAACCATTGCAAGGGAGCCAAGGTCTGTACCATTGCAAGGGCGATCTCTTGAAATGTGCTGTCTTCGAAGAAGTGCATAAAAGAAGGAGAGAAGAGCAAGACAAGTGAGTACAACAAGAGAAGAAGAGAAAAACAAGATGGATGAGACTGAGCCCCCTTTAGAAGCTTTTATTTCCACTTTGGCTTATTCTTTGGCTCTGTAAGGCTCAGCAGCTGCTTCCTCAGCCTGACAAAGTCTATAATGAGTGAATTAGACCAGCTTGTTCCCGGCATTAAGACAAAAGTTTTCTCTATAGTTTTCTGGCATGTGCTTCCTCTAGTTAGGTAGAATACACTTTTTCAGAGTAATAAAATGTAGAAATCTGAAATTCTAGTGATGAGTTAAAGAAATGGACTCAAAGAGTCCATTTGGCTTCTTTGGTTTAAACCTCATAAGTGATAAAGAATGTGCGTGTCAGACCATGTACATATTTTCACTGGAGTAATTTGCAAGGTTGCAGCCTGTTGATACCGCACAGAACTCAATGATTCAGCTCCTACATTTAATCTACTTATCTCTCAGATTTTTCCCATTCCAAACAAAGATATACAGGAACCGAACAGTCTTTATTCGGGCAACCTGTAGTCCTAACTTCCAGAAGGAATTTATAGATCCTTGAAAGTTCTCCTTCTTTCAAATACAAGAATTATCTGTCTGCATCTGTTCATAATTTTCAGAGCTCTTTATTCTATGAACTTTATTCTTCATACTACATAGGAATTTGTATCAAGCAGAAATAAGAGAAAAGCTTTTGGGCTCCTAGATGAAACCTTAAGCCTAAGCAAACTCTCAGAACCTTCAGGTGATTTGGGGGAAGTCCTAAGGACTTAGTTATATTGTAGTCTCCGCTCATGCATTGGAAATGCATTTCAAGATCCCCAGTGGATCCCTGAAACCTCAGACAGCACAGAAATCTATTTTTGCATATATATATACATATATATATGTATATATATATTTTTCCTATACAGACATACTATGATAAAGTTTAAAGTATAAGTTATGCATAGTAAGAGATTAACAACAGTAATTTATAATAAAATAGGTCAATTATGTTGCATTTTGGGGCCATTAACAGTAAAATAAAAATTACTTGTTTTTGTTTTACCCATTTTGAGTTAGGTTTTGTACATGGTGTTTGTTTTTTGTTTTGTTTTGTTTTTGTTTGTTTTTTGGTGGAGATGTTGCCCAATCTGGTCTCAAACTCTACACTCAAGCAATCCATCTGCCTTGGCCCCCCAAAGTGCTAGGATTACAGGTGTGAGCCACCAAGCCCAGTGAAAATAAGGTTTACGTGAATACAAGCATTGTGATACCTCAACAGTGTATTTGATAATCGGGAAGGCTACTAAGTGACTAATGGTGGCTAGTTGTAGACAGTGTGGACACACTGGACAAAGGGATGATTCACATCCCAGGCAGCATGAGGTTGGACAGTGAGAGATCTCATCATGCTACTCAGAATGGTGCACAGTTTTAAACTTAAGAATTGTTTATTTCTAGAATTTTCCATTTAACATTTTCAGACTGCATTTGACTGTGGGTAACTAAAACCATCAAAAGCAAAACTGTGGGTAAGAGGGAACTGCTGTACTATACTTTACATTCTAAAAGTCTAGCTTTTCTCAGGATTTGTTTAGTTTTTCCAAGCAAATTTTTGTGGGATTTGAATCCCCAAATAATTAGGCCTTTTTCAAAATGACCTACACTGATGATTTCCATGGAGTTTTGAAAATCAGGGTAATCTTCTGGCCTACCCATCTCTGGCTACAGTGTATTTTTGTAGACCAGGCCTTAAGAACCATCCTTATAAGACACTGCGTTAACAACTATTCCTTGTTCTTTCCTACCTCACACAGACACGGTATCATAGCAAACTGATTTTAGTGAACTCTGAGATAAAGGACACGGTATATTTGAGAAATCAGCAGTTTTGAAGCTTAAAATGCCTAAATTGGATAAATCATATGACATTATAAGGGATGTAAATGTTATACTATGGGAGTTCACAGTTTCCAAAAAGGTCTTCTATTTCCCTTAGGAGGTAGGAGGGAAAGAGTACAGTGGGGGAAAAGGCGAGTTAATGGATTGTGGTGAACTACAGTTGTATTGTCTACTGATGGAAAAAGAAATCTGATTTCAATGGGACATTTAAAAGAATGATCAATCGGCATTAACAAAGAAGCTAAAATAGGAAACTATAACATGTAGAGAATCAATATTCATGGTTAATTAATCTTCCACAGTAGCCTCCGACAGCTCACAAGAGAGCAAAAAAAAAAAAACAAAAAAAAAAACTGTCCTACTGACTCAAAATGGAGTTGATTCACATGGTAGCATAACAAATAGGTTGACAACGCTGCCAGAAAACAGCTATGATGATGTACGCATGTTTGGGCTCGAAAAGAAACATCTGAAGCTGGGAGAGTGCTAAACTGGATGAAAAGGAAGGTTCAACGAAATTAAAGATCAAAAGGTGTAGAAAGAACAGACTGAGCAAACTGGAAGAAGAGGAACTTGGGATTAGACAATAGAATGTTGAAGTTTAAGACTTCCAAGATGGAGCAGTTCTCCACAAAAATGCCCAGGATGTGGTGATGGGTGTGGGTTTGATAGAAAGGAACAGAGATGAAAACCACTGTGGCTAAGGTCAAGGAACATTAGGTCAAAGGAGCTGAATGGTTTGGTCACTTAAACACTGAAGTAACCCAGGAGGATGTCAAGACCTGAGGGAAAGACTATGAGCCACACACCAAAGCTTTTGATGTCTGTAGGAAGTACCTGGAATGTACATAACAGTAATGATAAGGTGTAGAGGAAGGTAGAGATGGATGGCATTATACATAATGGAAGAGGCACTGGCATTTAAACCTTTTACCTTTGCATGTCGTTCCATTCCCTGTATAGCCCGGCTTGCAAACACAGTTGTGTCCTCCAACAGTGTTGAAGCATAAAGCATTTTCATCACAGTTGTGCTGATTTGTGATACACTCATCATGTTCTGAAATGAGGAATACAATTTTGTTACTCAAAGTTATATTTCCAAAGCTATATTTTAAACTACACCTTCAGTCTTGGTTATTGCATGGTAAATTCTTTCAACCACAGACATAACAAATTATAAATTATAGAAGAGCTCAGATTTTGAAGTATTATATACTCTTCTTGATGTACATACAAGTTCACACATTCACAAACATTGAATGCAAAATAATTTGGACAAAAGGCCTACCAACGGTTGCAAGAAATAGAGAGGGGAGGCAAAGATGAGGATTAATTCTAGAAGTAGACTACAAAGTCAGCTGTATACAGTTAATATTTGGGGAGTTACTCTCATGAAATAAATCTGTCACCTAACTCATCTCTGTAGCATGTGAACGATGTGAAATTGTATTGCTTTGTAAGTCATGACCTGTAGGATAATAAAGCTGAAGTTCTAGGAGTTAGGTGCCTGCCGTTAACACCTGCAGCCACACTTCCAAGCCTAAAGATACTTATGCTAACTGTCTGGGGAATCTTTGATCTCTTTAGTAAGTTCCCTCACTCTGCAAAGAAAGCAGCACAAATCTATTAAAAGACAAACTTGCTTTTGTAATATGTGCAAATACAAACTTTAGAATATGTAATCAATATAGTATCTGCTCTAACTGCTTATAACTTGAAACTCTGGAAAGCATTGAATTACTTGATCCTTACAGCACCCCTGTGGGAGAGGCAGAACCAATATCATTGTAACCATTTTCAAGGTGACTCAACGGTGGCTCAGAGTGTTTAAGTAGCCTGCCCAAGTTCACAGGAATATCAAGTAACTTCAGAATTCTAGCTCAGCATTCAGCAAAGATGTAAATGTAAGGAATAAATACAGTGAACATGAGAAAGCAAACAAATCTAACATCAAAATACAGATGAGGAGGAAATGCAATATGTGAGAAAATGCACACAAATTAGTTCAGCCATCTAAAATCCCTACAGTGGCACTACTTAGTACTCAGTCTCTTACATGAATATTATTCAGGCCTAAAACAAAATATACATTTTAATAAATTACATTGATTGAGCCATTAATTTCACGTAATATAAATCATGAAAGCAATGAAATATTTGATTTAACTTTAGAACTCTGTATTCCAGACATTATAATGGTAATATATCTGTAACTTGTCTTTGGCATAATAGATCTGTAACTTGTAATATATCCGTAAATTGTCTTTGGCATATACAGTTAAGGTTAGACTAAAATCACTTACTTCAACTACTAAAATAAAATGCCCTTCATTTAAAAAAATAAAAATTGTCATTTTGCTATGGCATTTTATGTCTCATTCTATATGAGCACAAAGTTATGATAGCTTTAATTATAACCCTGAAACTACATTCTTAGAGATTATTCCCAATAATCCTTTAGAGGAAAGAAAGATTTCAATCACCAAGGTTCTAGAACTGCACAAATGGATATATTATTTTCCAAATTCCTGGCTGAATAACCCAAAATTGTACAAAATTCCACCCATATTATCTAGTATCACAGAACATTTCATAGTTTTTATAAATTCATGATTACTACTGGTAGCTTAGAAAAGAGCTGGATTACACATGGGTCTCCTAATTGAGGCTACCCTTGGACCACCATAAAATTTCAGAAGGGCTAGAATGGGCAGCCCACCTACCTTTGGGTTCTGCTGCCTGAAGCAAAATAAATCTACACTTTGAATGAGGTTTGCACCTGCTGCCAATTTCATCCCCAGTGCAATTCGAAGTGCCGCAGTTAATCTATAAATCTCTATATGGACAGCCGTAGGCCCTTAAAACAGAGCTGCTGATTGATTTGATGCTGTTTTAATCCCTGCCTTGGTTGTCTTTTTAATTGGACCATACTCACCGGGTAGAGAAAGGACCTAACAAGATTCAGTTTAGCATCTAGCATGATAATGTTCAATAAACGCTAAATAATTACACAGTCTGGGACCTGGTTTCCTCTGTTGTCATTTACTCTCATGGGTACTGAAATGAGAAAGTGGGCTCCTAGGCAATTCAAAGGCAAATACAGTTCTGAAGGCTTTAAATGCATCCATGCCTTTACATATATATATATGTTCCCTGTGACTGAAGTGTCCTTCCCCACAGATTCTCCTGGAAAACACTTACCATTTTTAAACATTACAATAAAATGTCACGTATTGTGCGAAGATACCTTAGTCTCCCCCTCCTACAGAGTTAGGGGCTGCTATCTATTTTCCCTAACACCACATACAAGGTTCTATTATTCTCTTTTATTGTAATTTTATGTCCATTTCTCTTTAGTTCTCCATTCTTAAGCTCCACTCTGGGACTGTGAATTTTTAGACCAGATTTTTGTATTTTTCTTTGTATCTCATTTAAACATTCAAAGAAGGTTTCTTAAATAAATGATTAAATGAATAGATGGGGCAAGATAGGAACTACTTCCTTTGCCATCATTCAAGACAATCCCAGTTTGCTCAATTGTAGACTACATGCCAAACACAGAGCTCTTAAAAATCCGAGCTGTTTTTCACATTGATTTTACTATGGTGCAGTTTTATTTGATTTTGGATATTTCAAATATTAATTAAGATATTAGGACATCTTTTGAAAACAGAAAATATTAATTCCTTTACACTATCACTTTAAATCTTTTCACACTACTTAAAATAAAGTTGGTTATAGCTACAATTTATGAACTAATGTAAACTGTGAGCTTAAGAAAACCCTTTTTAAACGACTGTAGTCTCAAAGAAGATTTGATAATCCTTCACAAAAACAGAATATAAATGAAGCAACAAGCAAATATTCTGTAAAGTCATCTCAATAAATAGATAATTATTAGTGCTCCATTTCCAGTTTTGGTCAAATGTCAATTTCTCATCCTTTCTCTGACTCACACTTCCTTGAGGACTCCACCATCAAATCACTAGTTCGCCTCTCCATTTCTAGTACTTCCTCCAATACTTCCAATATATAGTAAGTAAAATTAAATAGAATAAGGAAGGAAATTCTAAGGTAAAATTTAAATCAATATTATGTTCCAATGTTTAAGAAGAGCATGTCAGGATGTAATAGTGAATAAATTTCAAGGTTTATGTCTCATATATTGAAAGGCAGACATTCAGGTCTGATGTTTGGAATATCCAATCTATAAGACTCAATGCTATCTTCATATCCTCAGTAAAAATTTCATTGTTTATATGATATGACAATCCAATTAACAGCTGGAAGTGAAATCAAATGCATCATTTTCTAGCTCCTCTTCATCAAAAATATCAGCACATGGTTATTTTAATCAGAATTTAATTATTCGTTGTGTCTATGAATTTGAAATTTAAATGAAATGAAAAAAGAAAAATATATCGAAGGAAGACACCATCACTCAACAATACTAAAAAGTAATTTGGATGTCAATCACTATGGAACATTATATATAGAATCTATAATTGTATAGTGATAGTTAGAAAATATTTTTCCCTGTGTGTCATAATTTCTTTGTTCTGCATCTGTACATACAATGTAAACCTGATTTCATACTAGTGATGAGGCACAATATAGTAAAGTTCGTCCATGGGAAAAAAAAGTAATAATATACACAGTTGGATGCATCTAAACGCAGATGTTATGTATAACAATAATACTTGGCTTTCACTGATTAACCCCTAAGTCAACCTGGGTATGCTAATGTATCTAAAATCATTTTAAGATTCCATATCCAACAGTGTCATCAGTCATAATAACATGGACTTAAGATGAGGTTTAAATTTGGTATTCATATTGAGCTGTTTGCAGAATGAATGTGCTACCTAGAAACAAACCAGCTGCTCTAAAATTCACATAGCTTTCCTCACTGTGATTTCAAAATAGATGTACAATAGAACATAATCCATGCTCTGTTCAAAAATTTCAGTATAATATAAAATGCAAATACTTCAGAAAATAGGAGTGAAAAGTCACCATTTAAGTGCATCTACATTTAAATTCAATTTAGTACATTTTTCTTCAATATGTATTTAGTTTTGGAATATTTGGGGGTTAAAAATGATTATAAAGTTAAAAGCCTTCAAAAAGCTTACAGTTTAGTTGAAGACATAAGTAAAAAAACACAAAGCTTTAGTAAATGGATTCATTATGAGAAATTGCTAAAGTAGAGAAGTAACACTGCTTACAGGGGGTTGCAAGAGATCAAGGGAGGATCTGGTTGGATCAGGTAGGAATCCAAGAATGACTTCTTGGAGAACAAAGAATTTGACATGGATTTTTTTTACATGTGTTGGTGAGGGCAGGTGCAGATTCCCAATTAAAAACACCATTCACATACTTTGTCTCTTTTGTTTTTGGAATCTCGAGGCCCTTATAATTTGAATCATACTGAATAATTTATAATAATCATAGCTAAAATTCAGTGCTTACTACATATCACATACTTTGTTACATATATTATCTCATTTAATCCTTATATTAACTAAAAACATTTTCATAACAGAAAATTAAACTTGACTTGGAAAGGCTAAGTGGCTTGCCCAAGAACACACAGCTAGTAAATAGGGGAGTTGTGAATTACATCTGACTCCAAAATTCAGGCTATTGATTGCTATGTAATTGATTGCCCAACATATTTAATGCTTGTGTTTTTCCCAATCTATTCATTTTTTATTCTAGTGTTCTTCTTTATAATTATCCAGAAGTTTTTTATGTTTACACAGTTTAATGTCTTTTTGTTGTATGTGAAGTCTTCTGCTGCTTTACAATTAGGACGTTATCATCTCTTTACTGTATTTTATACCTCTTTAAAAACACCATCTAAAAGGAGTCTTATTAGAATTATAGCACTTCTTAAGGCAAAGGACAGACATCACTTTCTGTTCATACTAAAACCCACATTTTCACAAGGTAGATATAAGTTTTTAAAAGAAAAGGATGATAACAACATGTTCAAGTTCAAATCCCTGCCAAACAAAGTAACCAGCTAACAGAACTTAGACTCTAGCACCAATTGCCCGCACTTAAAAGTCTCTTGAAGCGCAACATTAAATCAGTTTGGCAAATAGACACCTCCAATGTCTGAGAGTCTTCTCCTCTACCACCAGTGGTCAGGCCCTAGAAACACTGTGCATTGTGCTGGATAATTATGCTTCATTCTACCAGCAATATCCTAGATCCTCTAGCTGACACCTTTATACACTAGATTCTGCTCTTCTGGTAACAGAACATAATATACCTTCATAGTCAGCCCACTACCCTCAGAGAAACTTTCTTCTCTAATGTATTTCTCCTGCCACAGGAAATATATTGCCTATCTTGCATCTTCTACTCTTCTGTTCAAATTTTAAAATGTTGGAAAAACAGCAGCTACAGTAACATACAGGTGTAAGTTTCACAAAGAAAGCTGCTTCACTTTCCCTAACCCAAGTGTTTTCTGGAATATAAATTTCACGTAAGTAAATTATCTCTTAGATTGTAGCAGATATGGCCCTAAACATAGTGACAACCAACCTCTAGTCGTAACTATCATTTGATTCCTAGAAACCTGAGAAAAAGCTCCCTTAGACTTAATGCTAAATAAGTCTTGGAGCAGAGAAGCCCATAAAAGAGGTATGAATTGCTCTTGAGTAGCTTATAACAACAGTATCAAATTACATGTTTAGAGGGATGGTTTATCTAAAAAATGTATGGCTGCTTAGTCATATTCCTCTAATATTTCTGTAGACTAGATTGCTTAAGATATCAATGGGTTTTACCGATGTCCATCCATAAGCATCACTTGTTAAGTGTCCCCACCAAAGCAAATATGTAGTGACCTGCACTGGTTTGTGAAGAGCATCCAAATCACACAGCCCACAGATCTGCAATACTGAGACTTCTTGCTTTATTCCAAAAAGAATGGCAACAACTGTGAATCCTCAGATAAAATATACTCTCTCTCTGTCCTAGTGTACTGAACAACTCTCTGAACTTGTCCACAGCACCTCAGTACTTTAGCAATATAATTATTATACTGCAGATCTTTCCAAAATGAGTACAAGCTGAGTTTAAAGAATGTTCTATGTTACAACTCCAGAATTTCTGGTTTTAGGTCTATAAGAAAAAAGTGGTACTCCTTCCTTCCTTCTCCCTTCTTCCTTCCTTCCCTTTCAAGTCTGGTATATGAAAACATTGTGTTATAATTCATTAGATGATTTTAAATGTCCTTGATCAACTATGCTGTAGTAGGACCACAACTAAATTTGAAAGATAAAGTAGAAAAAATGAGAGAATTATGTACTATTGTAATGAACAATAACAGGGAGGCAGTGTATATAGTACATATTCTAATTTCCAGACAGGCTTGGTTTAGATGCCATTTTATCCTAGTTCTCTGGACCTGAGAAGGTTAGCTAAGCTTTCTAAGTTTAAAATGAGGAAATTAGGATCTCTATGAAAAAGCAGTTGTGGCCGGGCGCGGTGGCTCACGCCTGTAATCCCAGCACTTTGGGAGGCCGAGGCGGGCGGATCACGAGGTCAGGAGATCGAGACCATCCTGGCTAAAACGGTGAAACCCCGTCTCTACTAAAAACACACACAAAAAAATTAGCCGGGCGTAGTGGCGGGCGCCTGTAGTCCCAGCTACTTGGGAGGCTGAGGCAGGAGAATGGCGTGAACCTGGGAGGCGGAGCTTGCAGTGAGCCGAGATCCCGCCACTGCACTCCAGCCTGGGCGACAGAGCGAGACTCCGTCTCAAAAAAAAAAAAAAAAAAAAAAGAAAAAGCAGTTGTGAAGAATAAATTTAAAGGATGAAAGTAAAATTGCTTGCAACAATAAGGACACTTAAGAAAAATTAGTTGCCTATTATCTACTTCAGTGGGACAATTTCTTTTGCTTTTGCTAGATAGATGTCTTCTCTTTTCCATTTCATTTTAATTCTGTGGAGAAAGCCTAAATGTCCCACAGTGTTTGTTCTCCTCACAATCTTTTCTGAAATCAAATCTATTTTGGACATTTTTCTTGTTTCCAAAACCCCACTACTTTCAATGATTACATCAGGGGAAAATTGCCTGCTGACATATTGAGCAACAGCTATTCATTTTGTTTCTTGTGATTACCTTATTTACTCACTTTATATTATAGAAAAATTTTACTTACTACCATGTCATTTTAACAGAAATCTATTTTTAATGCTACTAAAGTGACTGCCAGAAGTCATACTGTAAACTTATTTGATGCCCATATCAGTAGCAAATTCTCTAAAAGTCATTTTTAACACCCAGGCATTTTTAATTCACTATTTAAGTTTCTTGTTCACTGACCACACCGATTCTATTCAATACTGACTTCTTGTTATTCTTCAGTTTGCTTGGCAACTAGGAATTTGTTCTGATTTTCTTCTCCTGACATGCTTGGCTGATTTTCTTCTAGTCTTTTCACTGGTGTGCTCAGCCTCCTTTCCTAATCCTTATTTGACCAAGAATCTTAACAACCAAAGCACATTCAAATTTCCTCCTTCTCCTTATAGTAATTTCATAAGCTAATCCAACTATTGATTTTATTGCTAAGACATGTTTTATAATATTTTGTGTTTCATCAAATAAGCTTTGTCCGAACTCATTATAGGGCAATAAAAATCTTGTAACCAGATAGATTTGTTTTCTCAACATATGATTTTAAGGTTTCAGCTATATCATTCTAGTGCTCTGGAGAGTGCAAAGATGGATAATCTGAGATCTGTGACCCCAAGGAACTTCTTAATTATTCAAGGACTGGTGATACGAATAGATAACTAACTATGATATATTGTAGAAGTTGTTTAGTGCCATAACAAAGAAAACAATAACAGTAACAATAATGATAGTAGCTAAATTCTTAAGTGCTTACTACAGACTGCAAAGCACTGTGCTAAGTGTTTTATATGCATTATCCTCTTTAGTCTTCATAAAAGGCCTGTTCGGGTAGGTATTAGTTTTATTTTTATTTTATAAATGAGAATACAGAGCTTGCTTGGAGCAATAAGGTGCTTTGTCCAAAGTCACATAGCTAGAAAGTAACAAGGCCAGACCTTCAGTGCTTTAAAATATACAACCTGTAAACGAAAATCTCATGAAGCTTAAGGAGCTCAAAGAGATGAGGACTGACTGAAGGTTCTGGGAAAGCATTACATGGGAAACAGGCCGAACAGGTGGCTCTTGACAGACAGGGAGGGTTTTTAACAGAAAAGGGTAAAGACGGGGAAGAACACTGCAGCTGGAGAAAACACAGGTGCACAAGATAAAAGCATGGGGTATAAAAAGGCCCTCAAGTATTTGAGCTGGCAGATGGTGATGACTAAAAGAGAACAGTAAGAAATAATTACTGGACGCTAAACAGTAGCGTCCAGACTACAACAGAATTTTATTTTGTAGGCAATAAATAGCTGCTTCCAGCTGTAGAAGAAAAGGTGGCGTGAAAAATTGAGTTGATTTTTAGGAAAACTAATCTAACAGTAATGTGTAGATGAGGAGAGATTAACATTCCTTGACAAAATGGGCTTCTCATGTTAGAAAGTTAGCATTCCTCTCTCTTTTTAATCCCTCTTTCCTCCTTTATTTCTTTTCCATTCGAGTTAGATTATTACTGACAGTTGAGACAGGAGTCTGTGCAACACTGAGAGAAGGAAGAGGAGAAAGAGGAGAAGAATGAGAAGGCGGCGGAAGAGGAGGAGAAGGAGGAGGAGGAGGAGGAGGGATGTTGACAACAAAGAAAAACAGAAAGAAACTTGAGTGCTTATTACCTGTCAAGCACTGTGCTAAGTAACGTATACATGCAGCATAAGGAAGTACTAAGGACAGAAGAGGAATCATCGGGAAGTTTACAACAAAATCACAAGATTTGAATCCCTTTAAGGCAGGAACCATGTCTCATTCACTTTACACATCCAAGCCCCTGTGATTTTGTGAATTAAACTGTCTTGAATAGAAGGTCTAAAGTATAACGGAGAAAATGATGGAGAAAGAAGGGTAGATTTGTACTCCAATTTTGGGCTCCATAGTGAATCAATATTTGAGCCAAGAGGAAGAAACACTTTAGATAACTTAGGTTCTTAACCTAGGCAACTGGGAAGGTGGTGATGAGATTAATAGATATAAGAGAGCCTCTTACCTTTAGGTATTTTGTTATTCTTGTTCGCCTGGGTTTTGTTTTTTTTTTTTTTTTATGGCAAAGAAGAAGATAGAAGTAAAAAGTCAAAATATAAAGGCAAGGACCATCTTAGGAAACAAAATGTACTCTATTGATGGTGATCATAAACCAAATAAACACTCTTCACCTCAAATCTGTTTAACGACCGCCACTTACATGGTAAACCCGTGGGTCTAATTCATCAATCACCCTCAACATCCAAAACAAAATGACTGGCACAAAATTGGTCTCCAATGAATATCTGTTAAGGAATGCATCATTGATCTATAGTGTGTCTCAATCTAACATGCAAAACATTCAGAGACCTGACAATGCTGAATATTCAAGGTATTCCAGAATGGCAATCTTGCAGTATCTCTTATTGTCTCTTCAAGTGCTTGCCCCATTTCCATCCTCAGCACATTACTTCACCAGCAACCTCACAGATAAACATTCAGGTCATCAGGAGAGAATGTCCTCAGATTTCCCATCCACAGACAAATATACAGCTAAATCTATCCTTAAGTCTTTCTTCCTCCAAAACCAGGAATCCAGGAGTCACCATAGACTCCTCCCTCCCTTCTTCTCACTCCCCACATTTATCCGGGGCCAGGTCACCTGGATTCTTCTTTCTTAAAAGTTCTCATTTCTGTCCTCCCATCTCTATCCCCATTGCTCTGCAGGTGCCCCAAACTGGGCACTAAATAGCTCTTGTTTGGATTAGTGCAATAGCCTCATAATGACAACACTGTCTCCAGTTTGGTGCACTTTCAGACCATTATCAGAATAACTTTTTATAAAATCTAATCTCCATTCCTTCTGCCCCCACCAATCCTCCCCATTCTCTCTTCCTCTCTCTTAATTTTGCTATTGGTGGCACACCATTGTTTTCACTGGCCATCAAGGCACCACATCCTCATTAAAGCTTTCATCATGGCCCTCTGCTTTTACCAAACTGCACATTGATGTACCCACTGCAACTTCTAGTAGTAATATCACTTGTTGAGACTCTACTAAAGGCCATGTCTTTCACGTGTGCCTCCTTGCTGCCACATGTGCTATTCTCGGCCCAGAAAGCCCCTTCCCACTTTCTTTGCTTAACTCTTCTACTCACCTCCCACTCAGATCACACAAAACTCCTTCAGAAAATTTTCTTTGAGACTCTCTCAGTCTCATTTAGATGAGCCCTGTAGAACCTGTGTTTCATTTTGTTATAACATTTGAAAGCCAGAATGTGAAGTGGTTAGGTGAAAGGACTTTGGAGTCAGGCTGCCTCAGCTCAAATCCTGGCTCTTCCTTTTACTAGCTATGAGGTCTTGGGCAAGTTACTTAATCTCTTCAAATCACAGATTCCTCCTCTACAAAATGAGTCTAAAAACAGTACAGAAGCAAAATCCTCTGCAGGATCTGGGGCCATACTCAATAATTAAGTATTTCGGCAGCAAAAATATGACCATTCAAACCAAATAGGATCAATAAAGATGCAAAATAGCCTCATATCTGATCAAATTTTGCTGCCAAATGAATTCTAAAAAATAAACATTTGAAGTACCTACATCCTTCACGTGGATTTACTCATTGTTATTGTGCTCGAACTTTTTTTTTTAACTGCATCCACATAGAACCTCTTTGAAATAAAAATTAATAAGAAAAAACAAAGAAAATAAAGTAAATAAACATTTGATCATCACAGCTGTCTAGATTTTTTGGAGTTTAGATCTATAGATAAGGGACTGTGGATATGCATGCCTTTCATAGAGTTGTGAGGCTCAAATGTGGTAACGTCTGGAAAGCACTGAGAATAATCCTGGTTCACGTAGCGCTTCATGAGTTAGTATTACACCAGCTGTCCTCACGCTGTCAGGGATTGTTAATTCTCTTACCTGTCACTCCATAATCAGTATACTTCTTGAGAAAGAAAATGTTAGTATAGATCTTTGAACCCTCACATCTTGCCGTTAACGCCTGCCACGTTTTAGGCACTTGATACATATGGATGAATCAATGATGGTTAGGCTCCAACAGATACAAAATCAACATTTTTCAATTTCTCAGAGCATTGTACATCTAGAGTTCATTGCACTCACTCAGAATCCCTGTAACACCCGTGAGATTTAATATTTAGAAAAGTATCTACACGCTGCTTAAGAAATCATGATGCTTAACTTCACCAATGCAAAAGTTCAACCTTGTTGCTCCTGTGTTTTCATGTCAGTGCTGCCCCTAAATTTGGCAAGAGGCATGATTTTCCATCCATTGACATTTATTTCAAAGAAAGAAAAGGCTTTCACTAAGCTAGTGAAAATCTCTGCTGGAGAGAAATATCACTTCCACCTAACCCCATATGATCTATTCATTTTTTAAAAACTTTAAGGCCTGCTCTCCTTTAATATCTACAAATAAATAAGATTAAAGAGTACACTCAACAAACTACACCAGAAAAAAGTACCTCAAAACAAAATGAAATATAAAAGGTAACTTCTGAAATATACAATTTCCTAAGAAAAACAACCATAGCATTCCAACATAGACAGTCTTTCCAATGAATTTTAAGATATTAGATTTCCACAGTTGGATCAGATACTACTTTCTGACCTTTAATCTTCCAACTTATAGAAAATAGAATGATTCCTCCGATTTTAAAGTGATGAGACTATGGGGCAAAAGAAACCTATCAGTGTTTTCATTCAGGGGCTTAATTTTAAAACGAGCTTCATTACAAAATTTATCTTTCTTAGAGTATGTTATTTCAATATCTCCTGCAGCAAAATACAAGATAAAAGATAATTTCCTATTCCAAAGGATTACATACATTGTTCTTGATAAAACAGGAAGAAGCATATAAAAGTATCTTTTGTGCAGTTTTATTTCATGCTTCTGTGTTTATTGTGTTTCAGACTATTTATTTCTAACATTTTAGAGCTAATATCTTTAAAGGTCTTTTAATATTTTGATTTGCAGTGGTGTGTTTATTGATGTTATAAATACGTGTTAAGGTCTCCTGTGCTTAAATTAGAGTTGTGGTCGTTACAAGATGAGTAAGGCAGAATTCTCATTCTCAAGATATCTATGGATATTATTCCCTCATAAAATAATAGATACAACTGTATTTCTTTATGTGTGCATATATGTGGGTACGTGTGTGAATATATAGTATATATGTGTGTGTATGTATATAATTTATATGCACTAGACATAGATAGATATTAAGTAGCAAGTAATGGCTAACTTACACCTGTGTTTTGTTCTGCTCGAGTGGCAGGAATCAATTTAGAAATAGAGTGAAATCTTTTTTTTTGTTATTCCAAAAGTCATCTTTTCTAAAATACAAAAGGATATTCTCTTTTGATAATGTGGTTAGAGTGCCTCTTCTTTTATATCATATTTTTTTAAAGAATTTAAAATGGATTTTATTCTAAATCTCACTCAGAATCATTCACTTTTACTTGATAAGGTTCCTTAAACTTCAGTAATTCTTCTCTCACTGTGCCTCACAGAGGGGAGCTCTTGCCCCCAGGAATCACTAAAAGTTTTCAGGGGAGTTTAAGAGATACTTTAATGTCAATTCATCATTCTCTTTCCCTGGTGGTTTCTCACACCAACAAGCTAACTCTTCCCTTCTTCTGATGTTTGCCATTTTTACTTATGCCCTTGGCCTCTGGGATTCCAATCAGACTGTTGCTCAGACATGAATAGAAACGTGACCCGAAGACCAGAAGATGTGTAGCTTAATAAGCAACTGGATGAAGCTGGAAACCATCATTCTCTGCAAACTAACTCAAGAACAGAAAACCAAACACTGCATGTTCTCACTCATGAGTGAGAGTTGAACAATGAGAACACATGGACACAGGGAGGGGAACATCACACACCAGGGCTTGTCAGGGGGTGGGGGCTAGGGGAGGGATAGCATTAGGAGAAATATCTAACGTAGGTGATGGGTTGATGAGTGCAGCAAACCACCATGGCACGTGTATACCCATGTAACAAAACTGCACATCCTGCACATGTACCCTAGAACTTAAAGTATAATAATAAAACAAGAAGCAACTGAATGACAACAAATGGGGATTGATTCTGATGCCAACTTTCTTTACTTTCCCTTCTCTTTCCACTACTTGCCTTCTTATATCTCTATTTCTTGCCCTTGCTTCCTTCCCAGTTGCAAGCTTTACTCACACCTCTCTCCAATTTATTCATTTCAATTTCTTATATTCTTCCACAAAATTAAAAACTTTAAAATAATGTACCCTTCTCCCCAACTGCAAGTGTATATTTTAATTACAATCAGCAATGTCCTGCTCTAGGGAAAACGCTCACTCTTTGTATTCATGGCTCTTATTCTACCCTCCTCTAATTACACCCAGCACCTCCCTCCTCACTATCGTCTTTCCCCCAACCTCTTTTCTCTGGGATCCCAGATCTAGTACAACTGGCAAATAGGTGTTATTTAAAGGTTCCCTCTTGTAATGTTATCTACACATGTTCCATATATCTTCCCATGAATGATAAAATCCATTCACTCACTCACAATATCCCTTTAAGGTAAAGTGGGACAAGAGGAAGGCAGAAAGGCAAAATGAAAAGGATTTGCAGTTATCAAAATATAGCTGGCTCAAGTAGCCTCCAGGGCCTCTAGGACAGATTGATCAAGTTGACGGTGACTCACTAATGCTCCTGCTTCTCTGTCTTCTAACTTGGTCTCTGCATTCTCCATCCTCCACGCGCAATCCAAAATAATAAACTAAATGAAAATGATTACTTTGAAAGTGAGACGTGACCATTATGGAAAGTTCCAGATCAGTGAAAAACAGAATAATGGAATCATAATGTGAAACTCTTGAGAAACATAATTTTCTAAAAGAGAAGATGACAAATATATATATATGTGTGTGTATATATATATATATATATATATATATATATATATATTTCTGAACAAGTGAATGTTGGGGAAAGTACACTACTGATGTTAATTATAGATTTATTTTGGGGATAGGAAAGTCCTCTTTTTTAAAATATTTACTCTCTGTCACTACTTCAGGACTTTCATGACTCAGCATATTTGCCTAAACTGTTTCCTTAGACTGCTGTGCATTCCTTTATCATGGTATTGAACACCCTGCATGGCAGTTGTATATTTGCCTACCAACCTTTGCTTCTAGGTGATGACTGCCTTCATTATAAAGATGTGTTTCATTTTTATACCCTTATTAACATAACAAAGAGTGGTTAAAAGGGAATTGGCCCCACCATAATGGCATCAACCAACTCTCCAGCCACCCCTACACATCCAAGTAAAAACAATATATATGTTTGATGTGCAAATGCAACTTCAAAAGGAGGCCCCTAGCTCCCTACATCAAACATATTATTTATCATTGCCAAACCTTCGGCAGGTACCCCTGCTATATCCTGTGTTTGGCAGAGTGTCTGACCAGAATTTAGTACTTCATCTGTGTTTATTGATTGAATGTTTTCATGCATTAAAAAAAATGGAGCAGGTTGGCATGATACATCAAGAGGAGAAAAAAAATCCATCTAGAATGTTCTAAGAAGCTCCTGACCTGATTGCTGAATACTTGCAACAGAAGGCTTTTATTTGTATGTCATTAGATTTAAACTCCTGGACTCTCCTCTCTCTGTCTCCAGTCAACTATTTCAGAGAAAAACATCTAGAAAAGTATTTATTACACTGTGGTTAATAAAATCTAACAACACATGACCCTATCTCACAATCTTTCCTGAATTGGGTTGAAACACTGAAGCTCGCCAGCACACAAGCAGTTAGTATTTTTACTTCTTCTGTGAATATTATGGACAATTCTATATTACCTAAGGTAAAATGAAACTCCAAAGGTAATTGGAAAAAAAAATCAAAGTATATCAGAAGAAGCTCAATTTTAATCATTAGCCTTCTCTAACATCTCTAAAAAATGTTTTCCCTATAAGTTTAAAAGCGCATGATTTAAAAAAATGACAATATATATATCAACATATTTGAATGTAGTCAGTTAATACGCAAACATATTCACCTGTAGCCTTCTTATTTCATACAACAAGCAGAACAATCATTTCAAAACATAAAACAGATCATGACATTTGACTTATTTTCCCATTTTGAATAAAATATAAAGTCTTTGCCATGGCCACAGTGTGCCCTGCAATGTAGTCATCTTCTGCTTCTCTCTTCCCAATCACACTGGCCTCTCTGTGTTCCTTGAATAGCTAAAGCATTTTGCTGTCCCATCTTCTTGAGATGCTATTAATTCACAGGTTTTTGTAGCTTACTCACTTGTTCACTTATTTCAGAACTCTGCTCAGAGGACACCTCCTTAGACACGCTCTGTCTCAGATCACTTCTTTTACCTGGATTTATTTCTTCACAACACTTGTTCCTCTCTAACATTATACTATACAAAATTATTTGCTTATATATTTATGGTCTGTCTTCCTCATTCAAATAAAAGTTGGATGAGGACAGAGACCCTAATTTATTCACTGACACATCTCCAGCATGTAAGAGAGAATTTGTTTACAGTAGAAACAGAGAATTTTAAGAGAAATTGGACCCTGTCGGCTGCATCTCTCACCAATTTTTTTTTATTGATGATATGAAGAAATTGAGGTTCATTCAGAGTAAATGACATATCCAAGGCCACAGTTAATAAGTCGCAGAATTAATAGGTGACAGAATCTTAGTTATCTTTACTTCCAGTCCAGCAGCTTTTGACTATAAAGAAACAAACAAAACAAATGGATACCCACAATGAATTTCGATTTTACAGAAATTTACATTTTGTTTTTTAGAAAAGCCTCTCTCTAAAAATTGTAATAGTTTTTAATCTTGGTTTATTTTTTGTTTTCCTTCCCTTCACTAACAGTGAGCCCTAGTGTGATTTTGCAAATCCCAGAACGTGAAAGCTTAACAGGGTTTGACAGCTGGTATGTCCCATGCTCGTCAAATTCAGTGGTCTGTAACAGGGTAAATGACACAATTACCTGCTGTAATTACTGCTGCTGACAATACAGTCTCCCTAGTGAATGCTTTATGAAATTCAGAACTGCATTTCTTGTCAATCCAACCCAAATCCTGCATACATATTTGAGGCAGTATTTTGCTAAATAAATGTTTAAAAATTAGAGCCCAAATCTAAGTGGGCATTTATTACTTAGTGTAATTCAAGCATTATGGATGCATTTTGCTTTAATCTAATTTTTTGCATTGACATGGAAATCTTTCTAACAAAGTTTTGCTTTGAATCAAGAATCTATTCTCATTGGTTATAAAGAGGCACAGAATACTTCACAGAAAAAGCAGATGTACCAAAAAAAAAAAAAATCAGAACTGAATAAATAAAGCATCTGCCAAAATCCCTGGTCTAGAGTGGTCCGCTGTACAACGAACTTATTACTTATTTCATTTCAACTATAAAGACACTTGAGAATACACACAGACACAAACAATTGTATAGTTGACTGCTCTGAGTCTGGCTGCCAGCCAAAATCCTTCACAAGTTATAGGTAGGCTGTCAAAATAAAAAATAAAAATGCACAGGGACATACTTGCCTGCAGATATAACTTGTTCCCCTTTCTTAAAAAAAAACAAGTAGAATCACCAAATTCCCATTCTAAGACTGGATTAGATTAAATAGCTTAGACATAGTAATAACAAAGCAATTCCAACTTATGGAAAAGTAGTACAAGCTCTTCTGCAAGTACATTCAAGAACACCAATATGTTAGCAGAATTGTATTAGCAACCAGATGATTTTGATTTTGCAAATAAGTGGTTCCTGGTTATTGATAAAATGTATTCCTGGAAACCACACCAGAAGGCTGATTATCATTAAATGGAACTAATCATATCCTTATTGGATTCACATGTTCTAACATAGTTTGGCACCGTCAGCAAAAACCAATGAATAAATGGGTGAAGAGTTCAAAAGTAAAGGACACGTACTTTATAATCAATGCTGAATGTGCACAGCAGTAAAACAAAAATGAGAAAAGAGGGCTAATATGTAATTTAAGTACATCGTATCTTCACACACAGATCCTCATTCCATAATGACAAAAAAGGAGAAAAATTACATTTTAAAATATAACAACATGCAATGTTAATGAATAATACAATGGGTTTTGTAGTCTCATTTTTAGAAGTGAAAGTAATGATAAATCAGTAAATCATTTCTGAATTTCTTAGACTTTGCAGTTATCCAGTGGTTGCTGAAGAATTGCAGCATGCCCACCCACATGGTCGAGGGTGGTAAGCCACTTAGCTACTGCACTGAAACACAATCCAAGCCAAAATGTGGTCTCATGCAAGCTGAGATCAAGGTGTTGAAATACATTTGTTCATCTAGTCTCCAATCCCACTGGGTTCTATAAAGCTTTCCCTGCTTTGAGACTTGCCCTTTGCTATTGGCCAGCATTTTTGTTTTGGAGTCTTTGGGTCTGCTCATTTCTCCACCCTGTAATGTTCTTCCCCAGGTTCTTCATCCCTCAGGACCCCAGTGAGGCCCTATCTGAACACATACCCTAAGTAGGTCCCAATGCTGGCCTCTATAGCTTTCCTTCATAGCACCTATTTAGCATTTGATAATACTCACCCACTTGCTTAGTTACTAATCTGCCTGCTCGCCCCACCCGCCAGATGGTAGACAATGAGGGGATGACCCGGGTGACTAGCCCAGTACCCAGGCCGTATCAGGTGTGCCCACCTAAATATGAATTAGGTGAATGTACCTTTCAGACTAAAGGACTATTTTCCCTATGTATGCCTTTGTCTATATGTCATAATTCTAAATTTGAAATTTTAGAGGTCTTGAGACTAGTGAATATGCAGGTGAGGAATAAGACTAATAGCTTCTCTGTTCAGTGTAGAATAACTGTATAATATCAGGCTTTTATTTGAATGCAATTACATTTCAAGAGACATGATATTATGTAAAGTGTATCTAAATTTGGGTACAAAGGAGTCAAATAATATAAATCCATTCCACTGTATTAATTTGAACTATGGGTGAGAATCATTTCAATTCAAATGGCCTAAATAGTCACTTTCACACTGAAGCATGAAAGGGTATAATTTCAGTTCCAGCATTCTAATAGAGTCCACTATAAAGGCAAAATATCAGGTTAGGAGAGTTTAATGTTAGCTTCAGAAAATCATTTTGAAATAATCTCAGAATTTAAAAAAATTAAATTTTATTGAAAACATTTTTCCTATTGATAGGATTATCTAGTCAATAGAATTATCTAAAATCAGATTGATTTTTAAAGGAATTAAAATATGAAGACTCAGGTAAAGAAACATTGTGTTTAGGAGTAGGATGCAGAATTGCGGTACCCCTGCAGTAATAAACCAGCAGCAAAGCATTACAGAGATGTCACAGGTAAGCTTGCTTGGAAATGTACCAGATGCTATCCTTACAGTCATATCTATTAAGCCAAAGTCTTCATGGATAGACTCCATATTTCAGAGACAGATCGGGCACATACAATGAAATAGTGCATTGAGAACTCTCTCTGGTAATTCTGGGTTAAAAGGTTATTTTCCTCATTCATTTTTACAAATATCATGGTAATTGAAACAAAATGCAGAATGGAAATATTTATTAACAAATCATTTTCCCCAGACATCATCACCAACCACAGAAGCTGGCTTGCATTGTGATACATATTTGCCAACACTGTCATAAATTTTCAACAACACTGTAATTATTTCCTGACCTAGAACCGTAAGTTCATAAAGGATTTCAGAATATCATCTTGCCCTAGAAATTTCTTTTCTAATCTGTCTTTGTCCTTCTGAAGACATTTCCAAGTAGAATCACATGTTGGTTGGTTACATATTATAATGAATAGTGAAGCACTATTACTTTGTCCTCTATTACTAATAGCCCTATTAATCATGTTGAGGTGTTTCATTATCCATGCAGAAGCAATACCTATATGCATATTTTGCATATTTAACATTCTACCGCTTTGAAGATATATAATTTGTACTTGTATAATTAAGAAGACTTGATATGAACAGAAAAATGCCTCATCATTTGGCTGGCATTTGCATTCAAGCTTATGTTTAGCTATTTGTTGAGCACTTACAATGTGCCAAGTACTATAAAATATAAGTTACTTTGTCCTTTGATTTAATTTTCACAACAACCCTATGAAATAGTATTGTTAACCCCATTGTATACTATAAGGCAAATGAAGCATGAAAAGGGGTGAAAAAATTTCTTCAAAGAATTTTAAGTAGAGGAACTAGAATTCAAATAGATCTGTCAAACTTAGAGACTAAATTCTTAAATGTTAAAATAAGTTAAGAAGCTCTGAATTGAACTAATCGATCTTCTTCATTTGAAAGTGTATATCTTTTGAAAAGTAAACATGTTACCCCTTAACTGCTCTACAGATCAACCCCAGCCACATGGCCACACTGTGGATCGAATTAACAGAAGGCACTTTCCATATTCAAGGTTTCACAGTTGGTGCTTCTTACAGGTTTCACCCTGGGAATTATCCTTTAAGAAGTCCAGGGTCATGTCCCATCACAAGGACCCCACTTTACGAAGAATGAGGATTCACTAAAACACATCAAGAGAACAGTCATAATAATGAAGAAATTAATTAGGAACAATAACTGGTGGAAGTGTGAGCTAATTTTAAAAAAGGATACCCCGAGAAAGTGAGTTTTTAAAAACATTATTTTGAGTGCTGTTAGATGGAATAAAGATTAGTCTCATTTTCCTGTGCTCCAGGGTGTAAAATAAGGATAGCTTAATCACTGACTCAAGAATATGGTACTCATTCCATGTCAACTTCATTTGTGTTGGCCCCCTTGCCTAAAATCTTTTTTCTTCTTCTAGTTTACCCAAATTCTATCTCTCCTGAAATGTACTCTACATTCCATCACTTTCAAGAAAATGTTTCTGATTGGAACCATCCTCATTGAATTTCCTACCTTCAGAACTCCTAGGTATTATTATACTGGCTTCTTTTGATTGCTCTTATTTGTTATAGAAATTCTCCAACAGACTAAGTTCTTTCAAAATAGGTCTATGTCTTTTACTTCTTCTCTAACATATAAAGGTGAGGTGTGGAAATAATGAAATGTATATATATATAAATAATATATATAAATATATATAAACATTATTTTAGATAATAAAATTAATAAAGTAGCAAAAGCAGAGTTCCACATGTTATGGGGAAAACACATCCAAAGAACCCATGAGTTAAAAAGGAATCACAATGAAGGACTCAAAGGATATTTTAAAATATTTAGAACTAAATGCTATAAAGAATACTGATATTATATTTGTGGGATATAGCTTAAGGAAATATTAGATAGAAATTTATACATTTATATGCATTCATTAGTCATGGACATAAAGACGGCAACAGCGGACACTGGGGTCTACTAGGGTGGGGACAGAAGGAGGGGAGTAGGGTTGAACTAACTGTTGGGTGCAATGCTCAATACATGGGTAACAGTATCAATCACACCCCAAACCTCAGCATCACACAATATGCTCAGGTAACAAGCCTATTTTGTACCCCATGAATCTAAAATAAAACTTGAAATTATTAAAAAAGTAGATTCTATGAAGTATATAATGATGAATAGGTTAGTAAATTCTATCAAGCATATAATGAATATCAATGGTACACAGTCTTCTAAACAGTTGAAGATGAGAGACCATTTCTCAACTTATTCTGTCAGGGAGCTTACCCTGATCCTAAGCCCGATAAAGGCATTACAAAAAACAAAACTACAGACTGGTATATCTTATGAGTATATGCAAAACTTCTAAACAAATTATTAGTCAATCAAATTTAACGGTATATAAAAAGGATCATACATCCTATCTAAGTGGAGTTTATCCCAGGAATGTAAGATTGGTTTAACACTGGCCAATCAATCCATGAAATTGACCATATTAATAATCTGAAATAGAAAAATTAGATGACCATCTCAAAAGACTCAGAAAAAGTCTACACTAAAATTCATTATCCATTCTGATAAAAGTTCTCAGAAAACTAGAAAGAGAAAGGAATTTCAGAAACCTGATAAATGGCGTCAACGAAAAACTAAAGTTAACATGATACTTAATAGTGAAAGGCTTGTTGTTTTCCGTTGACATCAGATACAAGTCAGGTGTCTAATCTCACTTCTATTCAACACTGCACTGGTGGATCTAGCCAGCACAGTAAGGCAAGAAAGGAAATAAAAAGCAATCAGATTAGAAAAAATAAAAATAAATAAATGCATACATTGGAAACACATGGCTTTCAAAACAAGCAGACCTGGGCACCAGTATTTATTAGTAGTGTGACTTTAAACAACCTATTGAAAATTCCAATGCTTTATGCTCCTCACTTAAGTGATGAAGATAATAATATCAAACTTAGGATGGTGTTTTGAAGATTGAATTAAATAACATAAATAAAGCATCTGGAACCATGTCTGACATACTTGAGGCACTCTTTTTTAAAATATTATCACCACCTCCCTTCGGAAGCCAAAAAAAATCAGATTAATTAAATGTTGACTAACATTTAATTAATGGCATTGACATATTTAAAGAAAAAAGAAAAGACAGTCTACATGAAGCCTGGAAAAGAAAAACCTTTGTACATTCTTCTTTTATTATCTGTGGAAGAGATACCCTGACCAAATACACCAGTATCTCAGTCTCCTTAGAATCTTCTCATTAATTTCTTTTGCTCCAATTATAATTCAATTATCTCTATCATTTTTTTTCTGTTTGTTTTCCCAAAGGAGAATGCTATAACTAGGCCATAGAGAGTATTAGAGTCTTCTTGACTACACTAGTGGATAGGACTACCACTGAAAATCATGTATGGAAAAAAAACCAAAATAGGGAGAATAGAAAATAGGAAAAGAAAGTAGGAAGAAATATGAGCCCATACAGGAGTCAAAGAAAACACACACACATGCATACACACACAAATACAAACAACATGTAGTTAGGCAAAAGAAAAGTCTGAATAGTCAGGTTAATAGATGCTAAGAGGAAAAGAAGTTTGATTATGAGGTAAAGGCAACAGTATAAAATGCCAGAGAGACATGATAAAAGGGATTTCCTGTAGGTATTTAGGTCACTGGTGATTTCTATGTGAGTAAATCCAGAAGAGGAGAGAAAAAAGCCAGTTTACAAGAGGCAAATAAGTGGTAAAGAAGTGCTAGAGAAGCACAGCGTATCAAACCATGCTGTTTTACTTTGTGATAAGTTAGGATGGTAGCTAGAGTGGGGTCCTCTTCATACTACAAAATGTGAAATCCATAGAACCCCCTTTACCCAGTATGATTTGCAGCAGTGTGACAGAGAAAGAAATAATAAAGAAGTAATACACACATCTTAAATGCTTAAAATATACAAACAAACATTTACTTGTCAGTTACTAATGGAGAGCCAAGTCTTTTGCTTTGAGTTCAAAGTCATGCCTTTACAAATCACACGAAATATGTATTCTGTAGGAGTTCCAGCTTTAATTTAAAGTGCAGTGAGAAATTAAAGATTCTTCCAGAGAAATCTGAATAATGAATAGTAGATTCATATGACGTTCTCCAATATTTTACAATTTTCTTACCCACCCCTAATATGATAACACATTGTTAAGTACTTGACCAAATCAAGTTTTCCTAAATATCCAACCTTTTTTTGGTGAAACAACATATTTTGGAAAATGTGTTCAGTTGGCTGTCATTGTTGGTTTAAAAGAGCTTCTACTGAAGAGGGAAATTTGCTACTTCTCTTCCTACACTCATAACCATTCCTGTAAAATTCTTTACCCTAAGAGAGAATATATTCAGACATAATAAAAGGTTGCCAGCTGAAAAGCTCTATCGTAAAATAAAATTTTAATTGACCACATTTTTTATATGTAACTGACACTGATCCAATTCCTTCTTCTACTATATAACTTGCAGAACTACTTTAAGAAAATGTACATGAAATAACCTGAAAATTGTAAAGGATTTTACAAAACCAAAGACATTATTTGATGGAAGATATATTTATAACATCTATCATTCATTTCTTTTTTATAAATACATACTTTAAGTTCTGGGACACATGTGCAGAAGGTGCAGGTTTGTTACATAGGTATACATGTGTCACGGTGGTTTGCTGCACCCATCAACCCGTCATCTACATTAGGTATTTCTGCTAATGCTATCCCTTCCCCAGCCCCCCACCCCATGACAGGTCCCAGTGTGTGACATTCCTCTCCCTGTGTCCATGTGTGCTCATTGTTCAACACCCACTTATTAGTGAGAACATGTGGTGTTTGGTTTTCTGTTCCTGTGTTAGTTTGCTGAGAATGATGGTTTCCAACTTCATCCATGTCCCTGCAAAGGCAGGAACTCATCCCTTTTTATGGCTGCATAGTATTCCATGGTGTATAAGTGCCCACATTTTCTTTATCCAGTCTATCATTGATGGGCATTTGTGTTGGTTCCAAATCTTTGCTATCATGAATAGTGCTGCAATAAACATGCGTGTGTATGTGTCTTTATATTAGAATGATTAATAATCCTTTGGGTATATACCCAGTAATGGGATTTCTCAGTCAAATAGTATTTCTGGTTCTAGATCCTTGAGGAATCACCACACTGTCTTCCACAATGGTTAAACTAATTTACACTCCCACGAACAGTGTAAAAGCATTCCTATTTCTCCACATCCCCTCTAGAATATGTTGTTTCCTGGAGTACTTATGGGTGAGAACATGCAGTATTTGGTTTTCTGTTCTTGTGTTAATTTGCTGAGAATGATGGTTTCCAGCTTCATCTATGTCCCTGCAAAGAACATGAACTCATCCTTTTTAATGATCACCATTGTATCTGGCGTGAGATAGTATCTCATTGCGGTTTTGATTTACATTTTTCTAATGACCAGTGATGATGAGTTTTTTTTCATGTTTGTTGGCTGCATAAATGTCTTCTTTTGAGAAGTGTCTATTCGTATCCTTTGCCCACTTTTTGATGGGGTTGTTTGTTTTTTTCTTGAAAATTTGTTTAAGTTCCTAGTAGATTCTGGATACTAGCCCTTTGTCAGTTGGATAGATTGCAAAAATCTTCTCCCATTTGGTAGGTTGCCTGTTCACTCTGATGATAGTTTCTTTTGCTGTGCAGAAGCTCTTTAGTTTAATTAGATCCCATTTGTCAATTGTGGCTTTTGTTGCCATTGCTTTTGGTGTTTTAGTCATGAAGTCTTTGCCCATGCCTATGTCCTGAATGGTATTGCCTAGGTTTTCTTCTAGGGTTTTTATGGCTTTAGGGCTTACATTTAAGTCTTTAATGCATCTTGAGTAACTCTTTTTTATAAGCTGTAAGGAAGGGGTCCAGTTTCAGTTTTCTGCACATGGCTAGCCAGTTTTCCCAACACCATTTATTAAATAGGAAATCCTTTCCCCATTGCTTGTTTTTCTCAGGTTTGTCAAAGATCAGATGGTTGCAGATGTGTGGTGTTATTTCTGAGGCCTCTGTTCTGTTCCATTGATCTATACATCTGTTTTGGTACCAGTACCATGCTGTTTTGGTTACAGTAGACTTGTAGCATAGTTTGAAGTCAGGTAGCATGATGCCTCTAGCTTTGTTCTCTTTGCTTAGGATTGTCTTGGCTATGTGGGCTCTTTTTTGGTTCCATATGAAATTTAAACTAGTTTTTTCTAATTCTGTGAAGAAAGTCAATTGTAGCTTGATGGGGATAGCATTGAATCTATAAATTACTTTGGGCAGTATGGCCATTTTCACAATATTGATTCTTCCTATCCATGAGCATGGAATGTTTTTCCATTTGTTTGTGTCCTCTCTTGTTTCCTTGAGCAGTGGTTTGTAGTTCTCCTTGAAGAGGTCTTTCATGTCCCTTGTAAGTTGTATTCCTAGGTATTTTATTCTCTTTGTAGCAATTGTGAATGGGAGTTCACTCATGATTTGACTCTCTGTTTGTCTATTATTGGTGTGTAGGAATGTTTGTGATTTTTGCACATTGATTTTGTATCCTGAGACTTTGCTGAGGTTGCTTATCAGCTTAAGGAGATTTTTGCTGAGATGATGGGGTGTTCTACATATACCATCATGTCATTTGCAAACAGAGACAATGTGACTTCCTCTCCTCCTATTTGAATACCTTTTACTTATCTCTCTTGCCTGACTGCCCTGGCCAGAACTTCCAATATTATGTTGAATAGGAGTGATGAGAGAGGGCATCCTTGTCTTGTACCAGTTTTCAAAGGACTGCTTCCAACTTTTGCCCATTCAGTATGATATTGGCTATGAGTCTGTCATAAATAGCTCTTATTATTTTGAGATATGTTTCATCAATACGTGGTTTATTGAGAGTTTTTAGCATAAAGGGGTGTTAAATTTTATCAAAGGCCTTTTCTGCATCTATTAAGATAATCATGTGGTTTTTGTCATTGGTTCTGTTTATGTGATGGATGACATTTATTGATTTGCATATGTCGAACCAGCCTTGCATCCCAGGGATGAAGCCGACTTGATCATGGTGGATAAGCTTTTTGATGTGCTGCTGGATTTGTTTTGCCAGCATTTTATTGAGGATTTTCATATCAATGTTCATCAGGGATATTGGTCTGAAATTTTCTTTTTTTGTTGTGTCTCTGCCAGGTTTTGGTATCAGGATGATGCTGGCCTCATAAAATGAGTTAGGGAGGAGTCCCTCTTTTTCTATTGTTTGGAATAGTTTCAGAAGTAGAATCCTGCTTTGATTCCGTCTGGTCTGGTGCTTTTTTTGCTTGGTAGGCTATTATTTACTGCCTCAATTTCAGACCTTGTTATTGTTATATTCAGGGTTTTTACTTCTTCCTGGTTTAGTGTTGGGAGGGTGTATGTGTCCAGGAATTTATCCACTTCTTCTAGATTTTTTAGTTTATTTGCATAGAGGTGTTTATAGTATTCTCTGATGGCAGTTTGTATTTCTGTGGGATCAGTGGTGATATCCCCTTTATCATTTTTTATTGTGTCTATTTGATTCTTCTCTCTTTTCTTCTTTATTAGTCTGGCTAGTGGTCTATTTTGTTGATCTTTTCAAGAAAACGCTCCTAGATTCATTGATTTTTGAAGGGTTTTTTGTGTCTGTATCTCCTTCAGTTCAGGTCCGATCTTAGTTATTTCTTGTCTTCTGCTAGCTTTTGAATTTGTTTGCTCTTGAACCCTTTTACATATCCAAAAACTATTTATTGACCACCTACCCTATATGAGGCACTATGCTACACGTTGGTTACAGAGTGGTGAAAACATACTCACCTTTTCCTACACTGTGGAGCTTAAAGTAATGAGGAAAACAGGAAATAAGCTGATACACAAATCACAGTAGGTGTTATGAAAGAAAAAGTGTGGGGTATTTTGTGAGCGAATAACAGGGAGACCAACATTAAATTGGGTGGTCCCAGATAACCTTATGATCTAAAGTATGAGTTGCAATTAATCCAGCAAGAACAAGAGAAAAAATTGTTACAAACAGAGGGAATACGCGTGTAAAGACCTAACTGCGGGAAAAAGCCTCACGTCTCTGAGAAATGAAGAAAACATGTGTTTCTCAAATGACATGAAGCAGAGACCAAATGCAACAACCTCAGTTTGGGCAAACATGATGACAAACAAGCCTGAAAATTTCAGAAAGAAGTTGCTATAAAGTTGATATGCATCTTAATGAGAAAAAAAGTATGTAGAGCAATGCAATGCAGCCTCATAAGACTAGCCTCCTGTGTCTATAATACTAGTCTTGTCCAGCTGATTTTCAAAATTACTACAACAGCAGTTTTCTGTACACATTGGTCCAACCTGTTTCACTGTGACCTTTTGGTAACAGTATGGACCAGGAATTCTTTCTTACTGCAAAAGCCCTTTGTCAGATTCCCTCATCCTCTGTACTCACTTCATTCTTCCAGTAACTCTTTCACTCTCACTCCCGAGAATTTTCTTCCTCAATGAATTTACAAAGCATTCATTTCCATGCACGCCCTTAATTTGCAAACTCTATTCATTTAAGAACTCCTGAAACATCCCTTCCTTCCTCTAGTCTTTCTTAACTGAAAAAACAAAGGTGATTTTTAGACTTATTCTGTTCCGACCAGACGCACAATTCCTTTGACTTCTTGTGTACTTAATAGTTACTCACTTGAATCTCATCTAAAGTCATTACAGAATCCGCTAACAAATGTCTCATATCATAGATAGCACTGTGAGGTAAATGACCTTTTGAGGATTCTAAGATGTATGCAGGTTATGTAAAAGTCCTAAATATACTAACATTTTCTGTGGTGATTAGCTTCAGAACATTACCTAGCTAAGGGTAATAAAATGCACAACACATAATTTCAAGTGGGAAGAATTGATTAGGGAAAATACACATGCAATTTCTATCATACAAACCTTAAGAAAGAGCTGAGTCTTGTAAGCAGAGCCAGGAACAAAATGAGAAGAGAAATCAGTATAGCTATGGGATGCTTTGCAGATATCCCATATTTTGAGTTGTAGAGGATTAACAACTCTTTTGTGGGTAAACTGACCTCTAGCTTCACCCTAGGACCCTGGTTAAATGTTTATTGATAACACATCTTGTAACAACTCATCCACTCTATCTCACTTGCTTTGTTCAACAGCATCTTTGTCTTGCAGACACTATGTACAGGCCAAATGGATGCTCATTCTCCAGCTAGCGCTGATAAATTGGCATGAGTTAGAAGTAGTCTATATCAGCACTGTTCAACAGAAATATAATGTGAGTCATATATATAATTTAATTTTTCTAATAGTCTCATTAAAAATTGTACTGAGATTAATTTTAATAGTATATTTTATTCGACCCAATACATCTAAAATATTATTTCAACATATAATCAATATAAAAATTATTGAGATATTTTAAATCTTTTTTCATGCCAAGTCTTCAAATTCTGGTTTACATTTTACATTTAAACCACCTATTAATTCAGTTGAGCAAAATTTCAAATGCTGAATAGCCATGTTTCCAGTGACTAGCCTATTGAGCGGCACAGGTCTAGACAGCTTATTCTTGGTATTCTTCTCCCAGTCTTTTTCATCCCACAAAAGTATTAGGTATGCCTAGAGGAAAAGGTAGAAGAGAGATTCTACAGATAGCAGATATGATTGTAAATAATGACATAAATGGATAAGCCACAGACACCCACAAATATTTTCTTTATGAATCAAATTCATGAACCCATGTAAACTAACCTCTTTCCAGCGTTATCATAACGACGACCATGACACTTCACTCCACCCGCAGCGCACTCATAAATCATCTTCAGCTAAGCTGGGCTACTTGTTATTTCCTAACAAGACCTTAAGTTCCTTCATTGTCAATTCCTTTTCCTTACTACTCTTGCCATTTTACTCCTTTTTCACTAACTACTCAGCAGTTCAATCTAGAAATATGAGACTCACTTGACTTTTCCTTTTCCCTCATTCTGTGTAACAGATAAATCACAAGTCCACTTTATTTTTCCATTTCCAGGGCTATCCTCCTAATCTGAATTACCACCATCTATTGTCCGTAAGAGCCTCTTAAAATGGTCCTCTTAATTCCCTTCTATTTCTAACCAAACCATACTCCACACAGTTCTTACAGCAATGTCTTTAAAACATCAACAGTATCATGTCTCTCCTTTACTTAAAACACTTCAATGGCTTACCATGACATCTAGCCTGAAATGGAAACTCCTTCCATGGTTTCAGACTCTGCATGATCGGACCCCACCCTACATCTTCATTCTCATCCCATGCCACCTTCCCCAATTCACTATGCATCAAACCTAAGGCCTCTTTTCAGTCCCTTAAACATACCAACCTTTTATCCCAACTCAAAGCCTTAGTATATACCTGGCTGTCACTATTTTTTTTCTCTAATGTATATCTAATTTTCAAATAAAACTGTAAATTCTTCAAGGACAAGGACTCATTTGTATAGTTTTCATAGTTTACCACTAAAGGCTAATGCTCAGTAAATAGCTGTTGATTGCTTCACAAATATAAATGGGTTAAAAATGTGTTTTAAGACCTTTCAAACGATGATGATCATCATTACAATTTAAATTTATTGCACACTTGCTATGCACCAGGAACTATGGGAACACTTTTCACTGAGTCTCTTAGTCTTCACAACAACCCCACAAGGTAGATGCTATTATCCCAACTGTAATAACAATGATAAAACTAAGGCTGAAGGGGTAAATACTTTGCCCCTGTGTCTGTGAAATTAAATAATAGGAACTGAGATTTGAACCCTGATCTGTCCATCTCTACAAATAATTGTTTTGCCTCCTTGAATTTCTATAAGCTTTAAGTAATTTATTTTTCTCTAGTTTTAATAAACAACCATACTAACAACTCAAAAATTTTAAAATCAATATGCATGTGATCAGTTTTTACATTCTACATTGTGTAGATATCTTATGCTGACATTGCACTGCTTCAGTTGCTATTTTTGGAACATGGTTGCATAGCAACAAGGATTATTAGGTGGAACTATCTTCCAGATTGTATTTTGTTTTTTTTTTTAAATAGAGTTACCATATTATTCATATAGAAATAGCTGAGGAACAAGGGGACAAATTTGATACAATCTATAATATCACATAAACAATAAGAAGAATGCTTTTCTGTTCAGTAATGTTTTGGTTTTCATTTCCACATATTTCCTTCCGTCATCAAATATATTTGGAATCCAACATGGTTGGGGAGTGACAACATGTAACTGAAGATGTTAAAACTTTAGAAGTGAACCAGTTAAGAGCAACAGGGTTGGAAAGAACTATGTTTACTTTATAAAGGGGAAAAAACTGCTCCACAGATCTCAGATCCTATCCAGAATTCTTACAGCTATGTTCTCTTGGAACCAGATGTAACTGAGATGGAGCATATGGCTAGCTCCATGCAAAGCCCTCACCGCTAGTTAAAAAGAGAGAAAAGAACAGAAAGAAGAAAGAAAGAAAACACATCTGAAAAATAGTGGCTTAATGCTATCATTTTACATTAAAAATAAATTAGTGGCATACTGCTAAGGGAAAAATCTGTACGTACATAATACATATCCAAAGCACGAACCAGGAACAATGCAAAGGGGATCTAATTTCCTTGTCAGCTAAATCATATTTTTCCCTCAGCTTATTATTAAAAGATTGTATTTTTAGGAGTAAGTAATAAAATTAACTGTAAAATTTAATCAAATGTAATTCATGATACAAATGGATATGGACAAAGTGAAGGATAATCAAATGATTCACTTTTTGCAGGGCATCCAGTAATGCCCAGTATCTGACATAAAGCCAATCTTACCTGACAACGTAAGAAAACCATGTGATCAAAATGCCTCTGCTAGTGCTGACATGTTGTTAAAAAAATAATGAGGAAAATAAACTGTAATGAAGAATAAAAGAAAAAAACCCCATAAATATGAGTAAGGCTATATGGGAGAAAGAGTGCAGGATTTTGGCATCCGAAAACCTAGTCAGTCATAGTCCTGAGTTTTGGTATTTAAACTCGTGAGGACTTGTACTAGTTTCTCCTTTTTTTTTTTTTTTTTTTTTTTTTGAGATGGAGTCTTGCTCTGTCATCCAGGCTGGAGTTCAGTGGTGGGATCTCGGCTCACTGCAACCTCTGCCTCTCGGGTTCAGGCAATTTTCCTGCCTCAGTCTCCCAAGTAGCTGGGACTACAGGCACATGCTGCCATGCCCGGCTAACGTTTTGCATGTTAGTAGAGAAAGGGTTTCACAGTATTGCCCAGGCTGGTCTTGAACTCCTGAGCTCAGGCAATCCACCCACCTCGGCCTCCTAAAGTGCTGGGATTATAGGCATAAGCCAGCGCGCCCGGCCCAGTTTCTTCATTTTTGGAGTCACAATTTTCTCCTCTATGAAATGGGGACAATATTTCCTTCCTTGCCCAATTCAGAGGCTTTTGTGAAGTGAGAAAGGATTGATCCATGCAGTCACTATTGCACTTTTCTGCCACTTGATTTATGAGTCACCAGGGATACATGTGAGCAGGTGCAATGTGCTGCTAGCCTACCATCTAGGCAAGGGTTCACAGATGATTCTTAACCTGATAAGCATTCTATCCAAACTGAAAAAGATGTTGAAAACACTCATTAGGAATCAATAAGAAAAATATCAACAGCCAAAATAGATTAAAGAGTCAAAGGACGTGAATAAGCAATTCACAAAAGGAAAAAAAAGTCAATACACACATAATAAAACAATGTTCATAGATTCCACTCATAAAAATATATAAGATGGTCAAACTCAAATAAATAGCAGGTAGAATGGTGGATGCTAGGAGTAAGGGGGAAGGAGGAAATGGGAAGTTTCTGTTCAATGGGTATAAAGTTTTAGTTACCCAAAAACATAAGTTTTGGAGGTCTACTATACAACAGTGTATCTACAGTTAACAATATTGTCCCTTAAAATTTGTGAAGAAGTGGCCGGGCGTGGTGGATCATGCCTGTAATCCCAGCACTCTGGGATGCTGAGGCGGGCGGATCACCTAAGGTCAGGAGTTCAAGACCAGCCTGGCCAACATGATGAAACCCTATCTCTACTAAAAATACAAAAATTAGCTGGGCATGGTGGTGTGCACCTGTAATCCCAGCTACTTGGGAGGCTGAGGCAGGAGAACCACTGGAACCCAGGAGGCGGAGGTTGCAGTGATCCGAGATCACGCCACTGCACTTCAGTCTGGGAGACAGAGCAAGATCCCTCTCAAAAACAAAACAAAACAAAATTTGTGAAGAGGTTAGATCTCGTGTTATGTGTTCTTACCACAATAAAGAGACATTAAAAGCACGAAGATACATACCCTTCCACACATACACACATTTAAACCAATAAAAGGAAAACAGTTTCAATACAAACACGGATTCAGAGAACCAGCCTTCTCATATACTTCTGATAAAAATGTAAACTCCTACAAACTTTCAGATGAAAATTTTATATTATGTATTAAAGTATTAAAATGTGCACAATTGAGGCCTAATAACACTATAGAAGTGTATCCTAAGAATATTATCAGGGAGGATTACAAAAGTCCTATACCACATACTATCTGAAGAGTGAAATTCTAGAAAGAGCTAAACATTTCAACCATATCTGACTGGCAGAAAAAATTATAGTTTATTTTATAGAGCTACAATACCATTCTAAATTATGTTGTGAAATATTGATATGATAAAATATTCATACAAGTTGATCATTTTTAGATTAAAAAACATTATGATAGTATAATTCCAATGTAATTTACAAAGGTACGTAGGCATTGCATGTGTAGAAAAAAGAATAAAAAGTTATGTCTAAAATATTAACGAGGTTCAGACCTTCCAAAGGGAAAAAAAAGATAAAATATTAACAGCAGTATCACTAAAAAATGAGATACTGGGGGATTTTAATTTTCTTCTTTGGCCTCCTCTGTTTTCACCATATCCTGTGTACATATTACATCTATATCTGAAAGAAAAATCATACATATACAAAAGAAATCATGTAGCAACAAGAAAGCAGCAAATTTAGGGTTCCACGTAGATGCAGTATATTTATATTAACCAATGCCAAGCTTTTCAAAATATGTGTATTTGGTTTCCCCTGAATTTCAGTAGAGTTTCTATGGATAAATATTATCCAAATTCGTTTTTCTGGAATGGTTCTATTATGTGCATAATGATGCAGATTTTGGAAAATGAACAACAACAAAAAAGTGTGTCTGTACTTTCAACAAATACTTAAAAGACCTTAAACAGGAGTTAGAAACATGGGCAAGAGTTTCTACTTGGAACAATAACAATGATTTCACCAGGAAAACCTATCTAATCAGATAGATGTTTGATAGGACAAGACAAACTGTAAAGGAATAATACTCAAAGAACATTTGGGCTGTAAGTGTCTCAAACTTACAGTTACTACTGTTACAAAAGAAGATTCAGCTATTGATAGACTATGAACACAGAGGCCAGTGCAAGATTAACAACCTCATTCTATTCCTCTGTGGAGACAATCTTGGAATAAGAAATTCAGGCCATTATGTAGCAGCAGAAGAAAAAAATACAGACAAAATAGGCTTGCTTTTGTAAAAAGCAATAAATATGAGTAAGGTGCTAGCAGGACTGACAGACAGTGAGTTCACAGTGTGGCATGTAATTGAGTTGAATTTTGTATAATAAATCTGAGATAAATTCTAGGCAAGGTAACGAAGAAATGGAAGAGAACCATGGCAACCACCTATTGCTATTTAAAAGGTATGCCCTAAACTTCTCCTCTAGAAGAATAAGGTGAGTATTGCAACTGGATATGATAAAGGAGGGAAAGTCTTCATTTGATGCAGGCTCAGCTTTTGGATGAAGAGCTATTTGACTGTCAATCTTCTGAAGGACCTAATAAACCCTGAAGACATCCTATACCAGACAAAGTAAAGTATATATATATATATATATATATGTATGTATATATATATATATATACATACATATATATATATATATATACACACACACAACACTGCATACTCACTATACCTTTTTTTTATTCCTTAGAACTCTGACATAATGTGCTTTGATGCTCTTGGTAGCTAATATTTATTGGCTAAATTAATGGTCCCAAATGTCTGCTGCTACTCATTCATCTATACCTCCTAGGAACCATTCTGGGTGTCCACTGATGAACAAAGCAGAAACAACAGACATTATCCTTGTTTTGTGGGTGTACAGAAGCAGGAGGCAGACAGTTAGGAAGAAAAAAAAGTTTGTGACTGTTAGCTTCTGAAGGAAACATAATAGAACCCCAGTGGATGGGGAAGAGACTATTTAGATAGAGGAGACAGAAAAGGTAATTTTTAGGTTAAAATACAGAGGATGGGTAAGAGCCAACTATGGAAAAGGAGAGGGAAGAATTATGTTTCAAGTAATAGGACAGAATATAGAAAATTCACGAAGAAAAAAGAAGACTGAAATTTCTTCTAGGAAATAAGAGGTCAATGCGACTAAATATGAGAAGCAAGACATCAAGTGGAATGAGACAAGTTAGGAGAGGGAGGGAGGGGACACATGATAGCTTTGTAATAGGGAGCCACTAAATGGCAATAAGCAAGGGAAGAACATGGGCCAATTTTTTACTTTTAAATTATTACTCTGTCTGCTGTGTGCAGAACATACTGGAGATAGCAAAAGCAAATGTAACAAACCAATATAGTAGTGACAACAATTTGCTGACTTAGACTTCTATAATGGAAGGGAGACAAAGACAAGGGTGTGGATTTGAGCTTTTTATTTTGAAAACTAAAACAAAGGACATGAATATAAGTTGGGTGTCCAGAATGAGAGAGGAATCAAGGGTGGCCTCAGTGTCCATGGTGTTAGCAAATGGGTGGTGAACGAGGCAAAAGTGGGTAAAATTGGGAGAGAAACATTTTCTTATTTTAAATCCCAATTTGCTCCTTGGGTACAATAATCCCTTTCATAGTTGAGTAATAGAATTTCATATTATCTAATCAACCACATGTTATTTCACAGCCAATCCTGTAGGCACTTTAAATACCTTTTAATATTTTTAATCCTTAAAATGCCTTTAAAAGGTAGGTATAATTTTCCCATTTTACCAAAAGAGAGTGTCAGGGAGGGTTAGTAACTGGTTGAGTTTCCCAGTTAGCATGTGATAGGTCTGTCTATACACTCCTTAATTCCTAACTCCAGCCAATGTTTATCCAGTATATTATAGTATATTATACTCTTTTTTACCCTCATCTTGCATCCATCATTAGAATTTTATATAAGCAAATGACCATAGCACATAGCTTATAACTGTTTAGCAATCAATTCACTTTGTCTTTTATTAATTTTAGTTGAATGACTAAATAAAAACATTTCTACCTCCCTTCATAGATTATAAAGTCTGCAAGGGTATGTCTTTTTTTTTTATCCTCCATAGCATCAAGCATATGCCTTCCAAATAGCAGCAAATAAATAGTACTTTTTTTTAAACCACTTGTTCTAGGCACTACTGAAAATATCTCACATATATATTAACTCATCTAATCCTTACAGCAAGTGTGAGATATTACTTTCCTTCCCATTTTATATAAGGGAAATGGAAGCACTGAGAGTTAAGCAACTTCCAAAAGGTCACACAGTTAATAAGCTGCATAACCAGATTTCAAACACAAGTGGTTGGGCTCTAGAGTGATCTTGTAGACAGTACAATAGAATAGTCTCTGCTTATTGATGGAGAATATGTTCTAAGACCTGCAGTGAATGCCTGAAACCACAAATAGTACCAAACCCTATATCTGCTATGTTTTTCTTATAAATACATACTCATGATAAAGTTTAATGTCCAAATCCAGCATGGTAAGAAATTAGTGACAATAATGAAATAGAACACTTATAACAATATACTGTAATCAAAGTTATGTGAGTGTGCTCTCTCAAAATACTTTATTGTACTGTACTCAACCATTTTTGGATTGCTGCAGATTTTGGTTGACTACAGATGACTGAAGCCATGGAAAGCGAAACTGTAGATAAGAGGGGACTACTGTACTGCCTAGTGAATGTGCAGTGAAAAGTTCAACTTAAGGAAAGAAGTCAGAGAAAAACTTGAGTGAATGGAGTTTACAAATCACTCTTAGGCAATGTAATTATTTTGAATGCTAAGTCAAAATACTACTGAGATACTTTAATTTTGCTTCCCTAAGTAGTCCTACTACTTAAAAGCTTACAAATTTGGGATGCTACTTGAACTTCTCTAGCTTCGGTTTCCTCATACATAAAATGGGGATAGCAATAGTACTGACCTAAAAGATGGTTAATAAGATTAAATAAAAAATGCATATAAAGCGTTGTAAGCATTATGTCCAGCACATAGTAAGCACAGACCCTGGGGCGTTCTGCTCAAGACAAACTTCCACAGTGCAATAGCACATATGCATTCTAAACACCTAGAATTTGAGGACACCAAAAACCAAGAGCATAGAGGGAAATGCCAAGGAGTGGGTAGCAGGGCCCCTATACAAATCCATCCGGGACTGGCACTGATATATAACCTAAAGAACACGAATTTGAGGATGAGACTGAGTTAGCCAAAGTTTACAACCACATGTCTAGTTCACATAAATTCTAGGAATGGTTTTGCCTTCCCTAAAGTGATGGAAGAAGAGTAGCCAAATGTTTTTTCCTCTCCCTATTTGAATAAGGGTTCCTCCACTTAGAAAATCTGACAACTTAATCAAGTTATTCAACCTCTCTGAGATTTAGCTTTCTCATCTATGCAACAGGGATATCTGCTGCATAGAGATGAAAAAGACATAAAGTCTGAAATAACATATAATTTAATAGGGGAAGATGGATGTGTAAATAACTAATACAAAATCAAACAGATTTAATTAAGAGCTATAGAAATGCAGATGAAAAAATCTATTGAAAATGTCATTCTGTGACTAGGAAGGTGAATACTAAGTCCACTTGAGTTTCGATCCACTGGCTGCTAAATTATCCCACTTTCTAATGAGAAGACACAAAGAAACTTATACAAGTGGGAGCTGTTTGTTAAGCAACAGAAGGTGAATAGAATTTCAATAAGTGAAGAAAAAATAAAAAATAAAGATGGCTGTTCTGGCCAATGAAAACCACATCAGCTAAGACATTCTTAGAAAATGTAAAATAAAACTTGCCATAATGGGATAAGTGGGGTGTCAAAATCCAACCTAGTAAAATAAAGGTAGAAATGTTATGAGATTAATGACAAAAAAATATTTTTCAATTGGTTGTCCAGTTACTAGGTGATGCATCATGTGGTTGGAAGGTGAGGGTCAAGGTGTCCTTGCCACTCTTGGTTTTAGGCAGTGTAGCTATTCAGTCTTCTGACTCAAAGTAGAAGAGAGCAGTGGAGATTGCCACACAGGTCACTATGCTTGGAGGGGGCTCCACTGTGTGGAAGAGGCAGGCAGAAACAGATGGGGAGAGATATAGGGCTGGACTCTGGGAATGACACGTGTTGGAAGCACTGAAGCTTCCTCCCACTAGAAAGAAGGTTCAGCATATGCCTTCTGTCAAATCTTTGCAATGTTAAATATGTTTCGAATTTAACTGCTAAATCCTCAAATGATCATGAGTCAGTCACTTCCTACTTCCCTTCTTCCTCCCTCAGCCCAAAAAAGCTAAGACCTTTAGTTCGCCCCAGGTTAAGGGGGCTGGATCCAGCTACATCAGCATTTGAATTACAGTGTGGTACCTTAACAACTTCTACTATAATAGTTTTGCAAAGCAGAAGCCTGTGGTTTGAGGACACAGAAGCTGTAAAAAGACATGAAACTAGAAAGGAAGACTGCTCTACTAAGGTGTGTGAGTGTTACTCTGTGGGCGATAAGTCAACGAAGTTTCTAGAGAGGGAAACAACTACACTGCATGTGAAGACAAAGCTGGTGACAAAATTGAGGTCATAATGAAGAGGTAAAAACTTACAGAGAATGAGATAGTATCATACCTAATATTTTCAGGTAAAAAAAATGAAGGCTTGAACTGAGATTGTGGCAGTGGGAATAACAATGCCATCATATATATATATATATATATATTTTTTTTTTTTTTTTTTTTTTGAGACAGAGTCTTGCTCTGTTGCCCAGGCTGGAGTGCAGTGGCGTGATCTCGGCTCACTGCAACCTCCGCCTCCCAGGTCCAAGCGATTCTCCTGCCTCAGCTTCCCAAGTAGCTGGGATTACAGGCGCATGCCACCACGCCCAGCTTGTGTGTGTGTGTGTGTGTGTGTGTGTGTGTGTGTGTGTGTGTTTAGTAGAGACAGGGTTTCACCATGTTGGCCAGACTGGTTTCGAACTCCTGAACTCAGGCAATCCGCCCACCTTGGCCTCCCAAAGTGCTGGGATTACAGGCTTGAGCCACTGTGCCCGGCCACAATGCCATCTTACATTTTCATAATGCTTTGAACATTCTTTGATGTATAATCTTGTCATAGAACCACACACCAACCAAGCAGATTAAGGAGAAAGGACAATGTAGATCCTTCCTTATTTTTCTCCTTCTCTCTTCCTCCTTCCCTCCCTCCCTCCCTCCTTCCCTCCTTCTTGTCTGCCTGCCTGCCTGCCTTGGTAATCCAGCGTCTGAACCACCTCTCTGTTTTGGAAACATCACCCACTGCGTGATTCCAGGTAGGAGGCAGGGTGCCCCTACCACTACAGAAGCCAAAAGAGGCAAGATGCTTTCTGTCCCATCAACCTGCTGCCACTTGGCAAATCCACGGTCTTGCAACATAAATTAATACAACTATAAGCTTCTGCCCAGGAATTCTGAACGTAGAGTGAGTAAGTGGAAGGCAAAGAGATAGTCGGAATTCACTTTTGGTGCTGTGTGTCCCCACATCCTGCAGTGGTCCCCAGTGGCAGGGGTGATACATACTACAATTGCCCCATCCTGAGAAGACTGTCACAGCATTGAAGGCTTCAGAGATGACTTGGTCTCTGCACATTTTCCAGACTGCTCCTCAAGCTTTATGTGTATTCTTTGAGCCCCCATACCCTGCCAGGAAATCTCTTTAAGCTTAAGACAGCCCGTTTTTCTTATTATTTGCAACTGAAAACCTTGACTACAAACAAAGAAATCATATTTTCCCCATTTGCTAACAGGACACTGAGATTCAAAAAGACTGAGAGTTGCCTGTGATCACAGGAGCATTTAGTTGGCAGCTGCACAGGGCTCTTCCCACTAAGTGCTGTCAGTTGTTTATCACTGGACTCATCAAATTCTGCATAGGAATGTGGAAAGAATTACTGCTAAAGGAAGGGTAATACCACTAATTACAATGTGTGTAAAGGGAAGCTGAATAAAATAAAAAATGTCATTAATATCAGGCAAGCTAAAACCTACAGCCTCAGGCTGCACTCCTCTCGCAAAGGAGTTGCAAATTGTAACATATTCTCTTTCATTGATTAACTTACAATGAAATCCTGCAAAATGAATCTAGGTGATGTATTCCCTTGGATAATTACATTTTATTCTTATAATATCTTGTTACCTCCTTACAAGTCATTGACTGCTATTCCCTTTTAAAAGATATTACATCTATTGAAGATATTGAAGAACAGACTGCCTGTTGTGGACTGAATGTCTTTACCTGCCTCCACCCCCCAATTTTTTTTTTTTTTTTGATACAGCTTCTCAAAAAAAAAGACTAGAGTGCAGTGGTGTGATCTTAGCTCACTGCAACCTCCGCCTCCCAGATTTAAGCAATTCTCTCCTGCCTCAGCTTCCGGAGTAGCTGGGATTACAGGCGCCTGCCACCACGCCTGGCTAATTTTTGTATTTTTGGTAGAGATGGGTTTCACTATGTTGGCCAGGCTGGTCTTGAACCCCTGACCTCAAGTGATCTGCCTGCCTCGGCTTCCCAAAGTGCTGGGATTACAGGTGTAAACTACCGTGCCTGGCCCCACCCCCTCTCTATATGTTGAAGCCCTAACCCCAATGTGGCTGTATTTAGAGATGGGGCCTTTCAGGAAGTAATTAAGGTTAAATAAAGATATAAGGGTGGGGCGCTGATGCAATAGGTTAATTGTCCTTATAAGAAGAGATACCAGAGAGGTCTCTGTCTTTCTTTCTTTCTTTCTTTCTTTCTTTCTTTGCCTGCTCCTAAAGGCCACATGAGGACACAGTGAAAAGGCAACTGTTTGCAAGTCAGGAAGGGAGCCCTCACGAGAAATTAAATTGCCCTGAACCTTGATCTTGGACTAATAGCCTCCAGAAAAGTGAAAAAGTAAAATAAATTTCTGTTATTTAAGCCGGGGGTCCCCAAGGCCTGGGCCGTGGACTGGTACCAGTCTGTGGCCTGTTAGGAACTGGGCCACACAGCAGGAGGTGATCAGCAGGTGAACAAGCATTACTGCAGCAGCATCAGTAGATTCTCATAGAAGCATGAACCCTATTATGAACTGCACATGCAAGGGATCTAGGTTGCATGCTCCTATGGAATCTAATGTGGAACAGTTTCATCCAGAAACCATCCCTACCCCACCCCACTTGTCCATGGAAAAAACTGTCTTCCATGAAACCAGTCCCTGGTGCCAAAAAGATTGGGGATCACTGGTTTAAGACACGCAGTCAATGGAATTTTTTTATGGTAACATAAGTAGACTAAAAATCCAAAGCTATTGAAAGCCAAAACAAAATCCAGTATTCAATAGTTTCACTTCCATGGATATTTTCCACTTTACTGACAAATCTTGTGCGTCTGTTGATCTAAACAATTTTTTCTGTTATACACTTTGCAATAAATTAAACTTCTAGATTTTAAAATTGGGCAGCTGATACTACACTATAATGATATATATATTCTCTCTGTGACTATACTATTTAAGGTTATTATAATTTAATTTTGAAAGGAAAACTAATGCAGATGATTCGACATTTATTGAAGTGTCTACTGGTTCTTCTGGGGTTTATTTCAGTGTGACTTGTGAATCTATTAGGAATATGACTCATAAAGAAGACAAACCTTTGACATTAATTCTTATAGTAAAATCTCCATGGTTTAAGATGATCATATTTATGATCACTTGAACACCATAAATCATGGGTCACAAGCCAAAAATGCTCCAATTTGTGGGTCAGACAGATAAAGCAAATGGGTGAAACAGGCTGGCTATAAGAATTCCTAGTATTTATCCGAACATGTTTTTCTACTGGAACTGCTGAATCTCAGTGACTAGGAGAGGGGAGACCTTCTTCTAAGAAGGCTGTTACTATTTCAGCTGTAATTGATAGTTGAGGTACGGCAATGCAGATCCAAAATTAATAGGGATTAATCTGAAAATCTGGCTGGAAATCCAGATTTTAATGACAAAATATTTTGAATTTTTAAGTGTTGAATCATTAAGACACCCAAAAGCCAAATAAATCCCCATTGAGAGCTAATTGTGGCCCATAGGTCACTAATGGATGGCTCAGAAATAGCCTTGCTGGCATAGAGTACTCCTGAATTAAAAGGTCATTCTCAACAATCCTGCATTCTGGAGATTGTGACAACAACGATACCCCCAATAACCATGTAAATCTACATTTTTTATAGTTTCCAAAATTACTGTCTGTGAACTTCCTCCACATTATTAAGTTCAGAATCTCCTAAAAAAAGAGCAGATGAGACATGTGCTATACATTTATTTTATATATTATATGTTGGGTAAATGTATAGTCTATTTCTGTGTGATTTTGTGTTTGTGTGTTTGTGTTCACTGGAAACAGACAATGAAAATGTTCTAAAAATGTTGAGCACCCCTCATTTTTACAGCAAAAACCAAATATGGAAAAAGCAACTCAATCATTAAAGTGAGGAATTTAGGCATAAATGTGAACTGAATCCTCTTCTCCTCAACAGACTATCCCTCTAACTCTCTCTACAAACACCAAACTTGCTCCAGAATTATGTATTTTCTTCAATCATTAGGGAAAAATGGGAACTAAAAATCATTTTTAAATACAGTTATGGACAAGTCAACAGTGTTAGCTAATAGTAATAGTGCATTAGTTTTCTATTGTTGCCATAACAAATTAAACCTGGTAACTTGAACTATATTTATTTAAAGTTCCATAGGTCAGAAGTCCAACATACATCTACCAGGCTAAAATCACAATGTCCACAGGCCTGCGTTTCTCCCTGGAGGCTCTAGTGGTGAATCTGTTTCCTTGCCTTTTCCAGCTGCTAGAGGATGTCTATGTTCCTGCTCATGACTCCTTATCTATTTTCAAATCCAGTAAGGTTGCATGTCTCTGACCAGTCTTCCATAGTCACATTTCCCTCTTAAGTTTCTTCTAAGGACTCATGTGATTAGATTGGGACCACCTGGATAACCCAGGATAAGCTCCTCATTTCAAGGTCCTTAACCTTAATCATATCTGAAAAATCCCTTGTGCCACGTAAGGTAGCATATTATTCACAGATCTGGGGATTAGGATGTGAACATTTTTGGAGGGCTTTTATTCTACCTACCACAAATACCAACAATAATAACAAGTATTATGTACTGAGTGCTTATTATGTTCCAGGTATCATACTAACTACTTTACATGTGTTTTTCTTATTCTGTTATAAAAACAACATATAAGGTATGTAACATCATTCCATTTTAAAGATGAAGAAACTGAGACTAAAGACTTAGGCAAATTGTTCATCATCACAACTAGTGGATAGTAGAAGAAGAATTCAAATCTAAGAAACCTGAGTGAGTTATTATCCACAAGCTAAATGCCACAAAATGATCCTGGAGAAAAGGGGGCCAGGGAAAGATCACGATTTGATTTGGACAAACTAAAGAGATTCTACGCCATTTCCTGTCTTCTGGTTGTTGTTGTTAGTTGTGGTAGTTCACTATATTTTTGCAAATCATTTTTTAAATTCCTCAGATAACAACTTAATGGTAATGAATTTTTGAGAAAAATTCTAAAATCAGCTCTCACTAAGCCACACTGAAAATTTGCTTTCATGGAGTTCCAAGAACACCAACAAAACCTTCTGCCTTCTTTGGAATGTAATACTATATCACCTTAATACTAGGCCTGCATTGATTATTGGAAGTCTCATCAATTTAACAAACAATTTTTTGGCAAAAAAGAAAAATAACATACAACAAAGACAAAATAAAGCGTTAACACTTAAAGTTGCACATCTTAATTAGAATGTCTATAGACTGTCAGAAATGTTTCAGAAACCATAAATGTGTCTTAGAATTTTCTGTAAGACTTTCTGGCTTTATCTCTTACAATTCCATTCACACTAAACTTGCTATTATACAACAACCTACTCTTCCTGCTTCTTGAAATGTCTTCTCTCACTTCTTTCTCTCTTGAAACGTCTGTTCATCCTTAAAAACCTCAATTTCAATGTCACTTAGTTGGTGATGTGTGGCCATACCCAGGTTTCAGCCAGATGACTCACTGCCTTCTCTGAGCTCCCCACAGCTCTCTGCACATTTTTTGGCTACAAATTGTACCATACTGTGCTGTAATGATTGATTTACACTATTCCCATCTATTAAATTGGACAATAACCTTACCATGTACCTATATGAAAGCTCTGGTGTAAAGAAAAGTAAAAGAAATGTGTGACAGCTTATGGGTTTTTCACAATCACTCACACACAGTTCCTACACCATACATTTTTACTACTCTAACTCTCTCTACTCTTGTCCTTCAACCTGATACAGTTTATCTGTACTTGGCTGAAGTGGGTTAATTAACTACATATAATACTCATCGTTTGTGGTAGTCAGTCTCTAAAATGGTCCCCTCTGATATCTATCTCCTGCTAGCCATACCTTTGTGTAATCCCCTTCGGTTTAGTGTGGGCTGGACCTAGTGATTTGTTTCTAACCAATAGTTTACAGCAAAAGTAACAGGATGTCAGTTCCTATTGGAATGCAGCTATTCCACAACCAGATTCCTGACCCACAGACACAGTAAGGAAACACTCTTCAAGCAGTCAGTGTGGCTGTGTCTCACCCCAACAGAAGCACACAGGAGAGATGAGGCTTCTGATTTGGGGGAAGAAACTCTATCTCAGGGCCCAAAACCATGACTTGTCATGAATGTGACACTGCAGAGGCACCGCGGGCTGGGGAGGAAAGAAGAGCAGCGAGGCGAGGCAATGTCACCAGGAGGTTATACACCCACTGCAAGATTAGATCAGCAGCAGAATGGGAAGACGAACTCTGCTCCACGGAGCACTCAGAAGGTGATAAGGCACAAGGAAGGTCAAATTTCATCCTGGCTAACATGTCAAAGCCAACAATCAAGAAAGGAAATGAAAGGCATCTGTTGAGCTTCAAATTCAGCAATCCTCTCCTCTGCAGGTGTCTGTTGCTAAGACACCGTTATTATTACACTCCGGGCATGTATAATCCTTTTATTCCCCTAGGGGAGTTTTCAGCTATCTGCTTTTCATATAAAAATCTTGAAGTGAAACAACTAATACATCCACCTGGGACAAAGGTAAACTAGGGTTTGACTAATAAGTCAAAGTAGGTGAGGCTTGCTAATGAGGCGGCTCCCACCGTCCCAGTCCTCAGGTGAGCTTGCAGAGAGGCAGGTTCACAGGGAAACATGCCACTGGTGCTCTAAAGACCAAACTATGGCCAGCTGGGCTGGAGGTTGTATATGGATATGACAGATGCATATGATGCTACATAAAGGCTCTGACAAGCCTAAAAGCCACTACGTTGAAGCTGGTGTGCTTCCCCCACTCACTGACAGATTCAGAGAGCACAGACTCCTTTCCAAGCTTTTCATCTTTAAAAAAGGCAATTCAGCTCCCAGAGGCTTTGAGCCTGTTCCATTTTGAGCTGACTGCTAATTGTATGCATGCACATATGTGTTTCAGAAAAGAGATAAGCACATTGCCTTGGCCTCCTCAGTAACTGTGGAGACACGTCTCACTTCTGTTCTCTGTGAGTTTTCTAAATGTGGCCTGAAGTTTTCCAAACATTAACCCTTCCTGGTAACCAGAGTACATGCTTTTCTAGAGATGCTTCCTGGATTATGTTTGCTTAGAAATAGTTTTTCATCATTAATTCTTTGAGTCCTAGGGCCTGGTATTTTAATTTGCTTTTGTGATCATGTTTATATTTTCAAATTACTTAATAAGTAACATTGTCATAATAGATAATGAACCACAGGAGATGAATGAGGCATCATTTAGCTTTAGGGGGCATACTTTACATTTTAAAACCTAAAGTTGTCTGATTTTCAAGTTTTATAAAAAGGCTGATATATGCCACAATTTCCTGATAGTTTGCAATGCTGATTTCAGGAAAAGAAAATTTGAAATGGTTGTTCACAAAAATGCAAAAGTCATTTCCAATAATGATGGCAACTAGTGGCCAGATGGTAGGATTGTCTGATTGTTGACTGTGGCTCTTTCTAAAATAAATTCACACAGAAGCAGCCAGGCTCACAAAATCTGTCCTGCTTGAGAATGGCCCAGACCTGCTGATTGTTTAGAGGTGCTATTCTTTACCCCAGGAAGATTAGTATTGTGAAACCCTGAATGTTTCCATTTAGTCCCTGGGTATCACAATCTAACATTCATTCTGGAAATTCTTCCTAGGAAGTACAACAAATCCTCCAAAGGCAGGAATTTTCCAACTTCCAGAGTAACCGTACATCAAGGTTTTTAAGCCCCTATTCACAGGTACAGAAGAAGTACAGTCGAATAAACAATAACACATTGAGTCCATTGCTCCAACACAGCTATCTCATGTAAGTTTACAACTCAGTTTAAAATTAACCAGAGAAAAGTGCCCAGTTGAAAGGGTCCCAGTGAGAAATAAGACATTTCCTCAACATAAGAACTTGTCTAACCATAAGAGTCACAATAAAAACAGCTAGTGTTCATTAAACATTTCTTTTGCAGTAAGCATTTTACTAAAGGAAAAGTGTACAAGGCACTTTACAACTAAAATAACTTTGTTTAATGTTTTTGTGAAAGCTGATATGCATATTTCCACTTCTGGCTCTTTGTCATCGTCCTTCTCAATCTGTGCTTCTTGTGGCCCTATCTACTCTGTCATTGTCCCCAGTATTCTTACTTCTTTTACCATTTATATACCAGTAATTATTATGGTACATGCACACACGATAAATTATCTGTTTTGTTCTGTACTTGTGATTTTGATAAATCCATTGAAAGCTATTTTTAAATAGCTGATATGAAGGTATTGTTTGTCCATACAATAAATTTTTGCTGCAATACAAATTTTTGGGGAAGAAGAATAAAAACAATAACATTGCTGCCTTTTCAACATATCGTTTCTTTAAATCCATCAAAGAAATTACCTTTCTGGTATTATTTTAAATAAATTAAACACACAGAGCAATGTTTGAGAAAGGGGCATGCATGGGTTACAACTGACTTAAAATCTTTGCTTTAGTTGCTCAGCAGCAAATTCTTTTCTGTAACCTTTTGCACCCAAAAATAGTATCCAAGACTCTTTTAAGGCTAGAAAATCAATAGTGATGAGGAAAAGTGAAGAAAATATCATCATAAAATTCACCACTCTTTCTTCATAATTAGCAAATTAAACAAGACTGACAAACAGGACACTAGTGATAACTTCTTTAAATAAAAATATTTAACTCATTTAATATTTCACTGGAGAGAGAAAGAAAAGAGAGAGAGAGTGTGTGTGCGGATGTGCATGCATCTGTGTGGTATATGAGGTATGACTCAAAACTGAATTTTTCCTCAAATTACCAGCCGTTTATTCCACTACCATTAATTGAGATTCTTCACACATTGTCTTATGAGACCACATTTAAAAGATTTGAAATTCTTTTTTTTAAATTATACTTTAAGTTCTGGGATACATGTGCAGAACGTGCAGGTTGTCACATAGGTATACACGTGCCATGGTGGTTTGCTGCACCCATCAACCCGTCATCTACATTAGGTATTTCTCCTAATGCTATCCCTCCCCTAGTCCCCTACCCCCTAACAGGCCCTGGTGTGTGATGTTCCCCTCCCTGTGTCTATGTTTTCTCATTGTTCAACACTCACTTATGAATGAGAACATGCAGTGTTTGGTTTTCTGTTCCTGTGTTAGTTTGCTGAGAATGACGGTTTCCAGCTTCACCCATGTCCCTGCAAAGGACAGGAACTCATCCTTCTTTATGGCTGCATAGTATTCCATGATGTATATGTGCCACATTTTCTTTATCCAGTCTATCATTGATGGACATTTGGGTTGGTTCCAAGTCTTTGCTATTGTGCATAGTGCTGCAATAAACATGCGTGTGCATGTGTCTTTATAGTAGAATGATTTATAAGACTTTGGGTATATACCCAAAAATGGGATTGCTGTGCCAAATGGTATTTCTGGTTCTAGATCCTTGAGGAATCACCACACTGTCTTCCACAATGGTTGAACTAATTTACACTCCCATCAACAGTGTAAAAGTGTTCTTATTTCTCCACATCCTCTCCACCATCTGTTGTTTCCTGACTTTTTAATGATCACCATTCTAACTGGTGTGAGATGGTATCTCATCATTGTCTCAGCCCAAAATCTCTTTTAAGCTGATAAGGAACTTCAGCAAAGTCTCAGGATACAAAATCAATGTGCAAAAATCAAAAGCATTCCTATATACCAAAAATAGACAAACAGCCAAATCATGAGTGAACTCCCATTCACAATTGCTACAAAGAGAATAAAATACCTAGGAATACAACTTACAAGGGATGTGAAGGACCTCTTCAAGGAAAACTATAAACCACTGCTTAAGGAAATAAGAGGACACAACAAATGGAAAAACATTCCATGCTCATGGATAGGAAGAATCAATATCATGAAAATGGCCATACTGCCCAAAGTAATTTATAGATTCAATGCTATCTCCATCAAGCTACCATTGACTTTCTTCACAGAATTAGAAAAAACTAGTTTAAATTTCATATGGAACCAAAAAAGAGCCCACATAACCAAGACAATCCTAAGCAAAAAGGGATCACCAGGTCAGGAGATCGAGACCATCCTGCCTAACATGGTGAAACCCTGTCTCTACTAAAAATACAAAAAATTAGCTGGGTGAGGTGGCAGGCGCCTGTAGTTCCAGCTACTCAGGAGTCTGAGGCAGGAGAATGTTGTGAACCCTGGGGGCTGGAGCCTGCAGTGAGCCAAGATCGCACCACTGCACTCCAGCCTGGGCGACAGAGCAAGACTCTGTCTCCAAAAAAAAAAAAAAAAAAAAAAGAAAAGAAAAAGAACAAAGTTGGAGGCATCACACTACCTGATTTCAAACTATACTACAAGGCTACAGTAACCAAAACAGCATGATACTGGTACCAAAACAGATATATAGACCAATGGAACAGAACACAGGCCTCAGAAATAACACCACACATCTATAAACAGCTGATCTTTGACAGACCTGACAAAAACAAGCAATGGGGAAAGAATTCCCTATTTAATAAATGGTTTTGGGAAAACTGGCTAGCCATATGCAGAAAACTGAAACTGGACCCCTTCCTTACACCTGATACAAAAAGTAAGATGGATTAAAGACTTAAACATAAGACCTAAAACCATAAAATCTCTAGAAGAAAACCTAGGCAATACCATTCAGGACATAGGCATGGGCAAAGACTTCATGACTAAAACACCAAAAGCAATGGTAACAAAAGCCAAAATTGACAAATGGGGTCTAATTAAACTAAAGAGCTTCTGCACAGTGAAAGAAACTATCATCAAAGTGAACAGGCAACCTACAGAATGGGAGAAAATTTATACAATCCATCCATCTGATAAAAAGGTAATATCTAGAATCTTCAAGGAACTTAAACAAATTTAGAGTGAATAAAAGCAAACAACTCCATCAAAAAGTGGGCAAAGGATATGAACAGACACTTCTCAACAGAAGACATTCATGTGGCCAAGAAACATATGAAAAAAAGCTCATCATCTCTGGTCATTAGTGATAACTTTTTAAAAAAATTCAACATCAACCATGTTAGAGAAAAAGAATTGACCACAAAAAGATAATAAAATATAAGCACTAGGCATATTCAATGCTATAAAAAGTTAAGTACTTTCAGAAGTGAAACTCCTTGAGGAACACCAGAGGAGCCCCTTTTTTTTCAACAACAAAAACTCAAGTATCTAGTAGAACTCCTTGTGCTTAGACACTTTATAAACCTCCTATGATATGTGACATGGACCAAAGCCAGCATCAGAAGGCCCTGGGATAACAGAAGCAGTAAAAATCAGTAGAAAGTATATGGAGCATGCACCAGGATAGTGTAATTTGAGGGGCCCTAAGAAATTTTCTCTGCTGCCTCTGCTGAGGCCTGTAATTTTATCTTCGGAGAATCATTCACCTAGGTTAAGCTAAAATCCGGGTTTTGATAGAAGAAAGGAGACAGAAGAACTTAGTGGTGAGTGGGACTTAAAACAGGGTCCTTTTTGTGGCCAAAGGACAATAAAAGGACACTGGGGACCACAAGAAGTAAGAGAAGGTATCCCTATACAGGGCCTAAAGGAAATTCAAAGGGGAACAGGGAAAGTTAAAAGGAAAATATGCATCTTACAATTTTAATTGGGTGACTCTAAAGCAGGATTTCCCAACCTTGGGACTATTGACATTTTGGGCCATGTAAATCTTTTTGGAGGATGAGGACCTAGCGTCCTGTGCCAGATATCTTGTAAAGGATGAAGATTAATCACTCATCTGAAAGGTAACCAGAGAAAAATTCCCATTGATGGGGTCCCAAGGAAATAAAACATTTCCTTAAGCAGATAGCTAGCCTAATAATATTACAGGATGTTTAGTTGCATCCCTGGCCTCTACCTACCAGATCCCAGTAGTAACCGCTTCCCACATAGTTGTATAACCAAAAATATCTCCAGATATTTTCAAGTATCCTTTGTCAGGTGGGAATGCACAATTGACAACCACTACCCTAAAGGATCAATTTAATCCCTAGGCTGGGGCAAGAGAATTTTCCATCCCTTCTACCCATCCATTCTTCCCATTCTCCTATTCCCACGCTAAAGAACTACACAACATAGAGCTCATCAACACAAAAGAAGAATCAGAATTCCTTTTTTGTTGTAGTAGAGAGCAGAGAGAAATGTGAGGAAGATCTGAAATGAGTGTCTCTTCACTCAGATCTTTACTCAAAATTCTTGATTCTGTTATAGGTAGTTAGACAGGCATGAGTGGGGCAGGAGAGGGTTCTCCTCCACTCACCAGGAATGTTAGGTGATGGTTTGGCAATTATCACATTGCTTCTTTAAAAGTGATGAATTGGCAGCCAGCACTAGGGAAAGGCCATTTCCTGAGGGTCCACACGTGTCCACTAAAGCGTTAACTGAATGCAGATGCCAGGGAGAAGCAACTTCCCTGGCATGTGCATTAAGAGACAAAATGACATAGTATGACTTTCCAGGGGCATTCCAGTGGAAAAGGGAAGAAAGCCTCAGATGAGCATGCATACAACTTCCTAAATACACTGTGCATGCTCACTTCCCAAGCGTAAGGAGGGCACTGCACATGCAGGCAGCCCATCCTAAGGGAAGAATCATGGGAAAGGGGGGCAAGATGTTGGAGGTGGGCCAGCTTATACAGTCCTAGGATCAAGGTTAAACACAGCACTTGTCCTTTGGGTCACCCATCTGGGACTCTTCTTGCAAGTGTACTTTCTTTCTTGCACTAAAACTTTTTAATAAACTTCCACTCCTGCTCTGAAACTTGCCTCAGTCTCTTTTTCTGCCTTATGCCCCTCAGTCCTCAGTTGAATTCTTTCTTCTGAGGAGGTAATCAGTGAGGTTGTTGCAGACCTGTATGGATTCACCACCGGTAACTCGAATGTCTTCCACCAGTAACACAGTGACATGTGACTCAGATATTTGCCACTGGTAACAATTCCATCTTTGTTTCTAGAGATGTTTCATGCTTTTTCCATTACTCAAGGCCAGTTCCAAGAAGAGATTCCCAGTAAAACTCAAGAAGATCTACCCAATTTAATTAATGCTTACGTGAGTGAACCAAAAAAAGCCATTCGTCCATATAAGTAATCAAGAAACTTTGTTATGCATAAACAAAATAGGTTACTTTTGCAGAGATCCTGAAGAATGGGCCTCAAGCATCTTGGCTCATGTTTTCTCTTCCACTCTCTTCCCTTTTCTCTTCCCTTTTCCATTTCTTTCCTTCTCTTCCCTTCCATATTTTTCTCTTCTCTATTTCCCTCTCTCTGTTCTCCCTTCCCCCTTCCTTTCCTTTATCTTTTCTCCCTCCCTCCTGCTCCTCTCTCTCTCTGTCTTTCTTCCCTTGTGATACCCAGTATTTTTTCTATAGGAACACGAAACGATGTAAAGAGAGAAATTATGAAGCATTAATTAGAAAAAATAATAACACCTTCAATGAAAGGAAAATTATATTGAGTTTAGAAGAGCAAAAACAAATGCATCATTTGTGCAAATAGTGCAACTGAGTCATTTCCACAACTTTGGAATAGAGTCAGAGGCCCAGAAAATGGTGATTCATATTTATTCCACTAACTTCTGATTTAGGGTCATTATTATAAGATCTGTAGGGTAAAAATTTCTCTTGGAATTGAAGCTAATTAACTGAAATAACCTATAAAGACAGTAGTTTAAATAATGAACATAATGTATTGAATAGTGTGTTTCTACATAAAATATGAATCATTTCCCTTTACTTTTGTATGACTGCAAATTAGACAAACAGTGAATAGTATAAGAGTTATAATAAAGAGGTTCATATTCCAGCCCCCTTTGCTTCTCACTAGATGTTTAACTATGGATAAAGCAATCTCTCTGAGCCTCAGTTTCTTCATTTGTGAAACTTAAGGGATTTAACCAGATTATCTTTAATAATTCTTCCATCTACAAAATTTTATGAACATGAGGAAAATCTAACTCAAATCATCTGAAACTGAAAGAAAAAATATGCAATTTGACCAACTTGCATATGTAATTTGTATGCCAGAGTTACTAGGTTAAACAAATAAAGCAGAAAAAGGCTTCTTTATTGATCAAAGCTCTTGATTATTAAGTAATGTGTATTGCTCTTGGAATCTTCTTTAAATTAGAATGTCTATGATTAATTTCCACATGGGATAAGCAACTTTGAGAGTCTGCTGGGAGTATCTGTTGTTCTGTTAGCAGGGGGCTCATTAACAGGAAAGAAGGGCAGGGATACAGAAGCAAAACAAACATGGAATTCCATGAGCTCGGACACAAACATCAGGGACAGGCTCAGCAGTGATGGTTTGACATTCATTCTGGAACGTCTCCTACTACAAGTATGTGGGTGTCTGTTACTAAAATTTAGAAAAAAATAAATCTCAATATTTTATAAGATAAATAAAGTCCTACTCTGGTCTTAAGGGAGCTCTCAAAAAGGAACAGGATAGAAGACTTTGGTCACAAGGCAAAGTCCCATTAGGGGAGTAATTTCTTTAAGACTTGTGTACAGACCCTAATATCAAAGTGTGGGGGAGCCAATCCCAGGACATAAAATGAAAACATGTATTTTCTTTACAGAAACCTGGAATATGTGTTGACCTTCTAAGGCCTAACATTAAAAAAAAATAAGCTTTGGCAATATTCACCTGACTCTGGACTAAAAATAAAATCGACATATTCTCTAAAAAAAATCCAAGTTTTGTGTTCATAGACCTAGTCATAATAGAGAGAAAATTTAAGGGCAAGAAAGTTTCTCCTCTTTAAGTGGTAGCATAGAAATAGTGGTGTTAGTTGAAAATGCTAGTGCCTCATTAAAGAAATACATTTTATCATCTGCCAGATCCTGAGATTCTTGGCTCTGGTTTCTTAGGCATAAAAAAATCATAGTCTGAATAGCGTTTCTTAAAATGATTTTCTACTCCCTTCCCATTCTTACAAAGGAATAGTTCTCAATTATGTCATTAGATACTTTGAAATGGTAAGGGAAAATTCCTCCCAAGTAGTCAAAAACAAACATTAATTTGTAGGATTTTATTTGGAAGGAAAGTGCACTGGGAGAGGCGAAGCCAAAGCAGAAGACTCTCTGTAAATGTATGAAAGCTAAACTATTCCTTGGATTTATATCCAACAGACTCAGAATGGAAATGAATCTCTTAAAAATATCCTGCCCTGCAGAAATACTCCTTACTCAACAGTAGGCCAAATTATGTCCCATGTCCTTTCACTTAAAATTTCTAACACTACTTTAAGAATATAACAAAAACAAAGAGAATCATTAGGAAATATAAAAATGCACAAAGCTTTTCAAGTCTATAATACCAAAGAATCAGTGGGCTCCCCTGGAACTGCTAGCACTCATTTTTAATAAGCACACCTTGAAATATATGCATTCTAAGATGCAGCAGTTTTATCTTAGTTTTCTTGTTAAAGATGAAATGGAAATTCAGATTTATTGGTATTATCAATAGTATAGTAAATGATATATTCCTTTTATTTATTATAATTTGTTCTTTTATATTCTTTTTATGCTGAAAAGCATCTCTGTAGTCCTACGTCAAGAAACTCTTCCACTCAATGTACTTAAATTTTGTCTAAAAAAATGAAGAATTGTTTCCATAATTAGGAAATGTTTAGGATGAACTGACAAAAAAGATAGGAATTTGTAAATCCATCAGCATTTTTATATTAAATATCTTCTACCTCCAGGATATCTTCAGTTATTTTCCATAAATCGGGAAGTCACTTCTCATTCTTTTTGAATGCCATCATTTTGTTTTTATAAATACTATATTTGAATTTAGAAGAAGATCCTTCCCTGTGATAAGGCTATCAATTAGCAGACAGTATGGACACTATAATGAAGACTTAGAAGCAGACAACTAAAACAAAGACAAAGTGATACTTCTATTATAGATTCATATTTTTACTAGGGAGGATTATGGAGTCTCTTTCCCTGAAAACATCTAGGTTTTGTTTATACATGCACCTGATAAAGATCATAAAGTTGGAGCTAGAGAAATAGGTGACAAGAATAACATTTTTGGGTGCTCTCCAGTTTTATGATTCTACCTGTTTTTCTAAAATATGTTATTTTTGTTTCTTCTATTTAAAAATATAGAGATGAAAAGAAATGTTCTGTTTCACACCCACATTTCCTCAAATCCTACAGTATTCAAGCTACTCTTCTAGCATCATGTTTTGTTTTGTTTTGTTTTGTTTTGTTTTCATATTCTACAGGTAGAAAGCTATAGAATAAAAGGAATATGCTGTATTACCCCAAGCCAGGACCAACTTCAGACACTACTAACACAATATCCCTAACAAGACTTTAGATGATACTAAAAGAGTGGTATTTCATACAACAAAAATATAGAAAACTTCTTTGATGTAGTTCTCAATTGTACTTCTCAGACATGTGAAGAAGCTCATTTATATTTAATAGTCCCATGTCCTAGAACTCTAAATCTATCTCTGAAAAAAATCACATTATTTATGTTATTATTTTTCTATTCAAAAATCTATCATCATATATCATTTAGGGACTGTTTCTCAGATTGACCATAGTATTTCACACAAATTTTGAGCATAAATACTAAGTATAAATGTAGCATATACTCATTTTTTAGGATTTTTATCTTCCAAATTGGAGTATATATTTATCCAGAGCAAGCAGGTGTTTTTTTTCTTTAGAACAGATTAAGAAATAACTACCAAATCAAGAAGATATGATTTTGCTAATGTTTTGTTGTATTTATGGTATACTTATCAAAAAAATGAGAGTCAAAGAAATTTTTAAAAGTAAACTTAAGACATAAAAATATTTTATTTCACAAATAGCCACCGTTTACCTGTACATGAATAATCATCAATTCTGATGTATCCAGTTTTGCAGATGCACATAAAAGAACCCGGGGTGTTGACACACATTGTATTTTCACGACAGTAATGGCGCCCTTCAGCACACTCATCGATGTCTGTGAAGAAAAACAGGACAAAGAGGTCAACAGTGGGCAATATTCTGGAGCTCCTATATAATTTTCTTTGGTAGGGAGAGGGAAGTATTTACTAAATGAATAGCATTTCAGAAAAGCATTCATGATATCTCCTTTGCTAGGAGTGTTTAATGTTCAAATGACAAAAATCATGAGTTTTTTTCCAACAGCTCTTCTTGGAGTTTTGAAGAAGTCTGTCTATTTTAACTTCCATCATCTAAATATCTTTTGAAATTTTCAGCGCATTCATCTGCCTATGCTTGATAAAATGAATCAGAATGCAAAGACTGGGCTGCCTTAGTATCCTGCAATCTTCAATCACAGAGCCTGCCACATATTATTGTTTGATTCACCAGCTATTCTGTACAGTTGAGCAGACCCTGAAAGAGGAAAATAAAGTGTTCGATATAAACCAGAATTGTAACAACTTCACTTAAAGATATGAAGCCAATTGCACAAGCTTATTAGAGATAAAAGTAGACATATAGCTATCCCAGTAAGTATCTAAATACAGATAAAGTTACAATAGAGACCTGATATAGATGAGAAGTTACAAAATAGTAAAATAAGATATTATATTAAAGATCTTACATGGTAATTCACACACTGAGTTTTGAGTATGTATAATGACTTCTGGATGCTAACCCATAAGAAGCACTGCTACTCATTGTGAAGAATGTGAATTTTCACATTCACATTTCACAATGAAACTGTCCTCATTTAATAGCATCTCTCTGCATAGAACATAAATCATTTTACAAGTATTTAAGGACCTTAATGCATTGGTCAGACAAGGAATTTCCCATCCAGAAGTCTGCATTCTCATATCCTTCTAATGATTCCACAAAGTAGCACTGAATTCATTTATACTGTTAAGAGAAATGGATCAACTATAAGAGATAGCTAGGTGATACACCACTACAGGGGCCATGTCATTTGTGTAAGCCCAACTATGTTCCCCGCCCTGAGAATGTCAAAAGAAATAATTGACATAATCTCAGGAATCTATATTTTAGAACTGTAGGGTTCTTATCATTCATCTGAGCTAACTATTTATTTTATAGAGGGACAAAACTGAGTCCTAGAGAAACTCAATTTTCTATTCAATTCCATGGACAGCATAATAAATTCCAAACCTCTTATCTGAGCCTACAAAATGTTTCCTGGTTTGGTCTTTACTTTTCCAATTTCACATCTGATGACCTCACTCCCTTCTCCCCTCTCAGTGTTCTGGCCACATAGTTTCTAACCTACCTGCTCTTTCTTACCTATCATCCTTTATACATACTGTTCTCTCTACTTATAACTGCTATACCTTCTCTCCCTGACACCATCCCAGTGGATCTTGTTTACCGGTAGATTAATCCCTCAAGAATCTATTTAAATGTCCCTCCTACAAAAACTTCCCTAATGAACTAAAATACTCCCAACGCAGTGCTACCTCAGGATTTTGTAAATGTTTCCATTATAGATGCATCAATTGTATTTTTATTAATTTTTATAAATTTCTTTCTCCCAAACAAATCACATATTCCTCAATGGTATAAATTATCTATTAGTGTTTCTTAACTTTGTCCATCATATTCATCTGGGATGTTAAAAAACAAAAACAAAAAAACACTAGTTCTTGGGCCAATTGCCAAAAACCCATTCCAAATTCTAATTTACTTGTTTGTGGTGGAACACATGCAATGATTTTTTTAAAAAAATCTTCTCCATGATGAGTGTAATACAGGGGTCAGGAAAATAAAAACTCTGTAAAGGGACAGATAGTAAATTTTCTAGACTTTGGAAGTCATGGGCAACACGTAAATTAATGAACTTGGCAGTGTTGGAATAAAAGTTCATTTACAAAAATGGATGGTGAGCCAGCCAGATTCGGCTCAGCTCACAGGTCATAAGTTGATGACTTCTGACGTAAGGCATAACCAAGTTTAACAATCACCACTAAGTAGGGTGAGGATTCAAGATGTTTACTAGAGGAGCCTGGTACTCATCTCCTCGACAGACAAGGATCATAACAGCGAGTAGATAGCCACATGTCAAATTGAGTTTCTAACAGATAACTCTGAAATTCAGCAGGAAAGTGTCAGAGAACCTCTGAGGCATGGGAGAGAGAAGTGAAGCAGTTGGCCCAGGCAAGATCAGCTCAAAGCCAGGAGGAACTATCTATTGTGAGGAAAGGTAAGTGAAAGATCTGCAGAGGTCCACATTCCTACCACAGACTCATATAATCCTAGCCACAAAAGAGACCCTGGGCCCTCACAGGCCCTGAGCCTAGCATAGGAAACTGCCTAGAATCCATAGGATGGCATTGTTCCGGAAAGGGAGTTCACATAGGGTCCTACAAACCCTCCTGAGACCAAAGCAACTACAGCATGGTGCAGTTTTGAGAGGCCATCCCTCAAAAGACAACATCCTGTCCTGAGGCCCAAAAGCCCCTGCTTTTCTACATCCCTAGAGCACCATGGCATCCCTTCACATCCATCCAGAGGGCTATGCTGCCATAATACCAGCTGGACCCATCAGTGCAAGCGGGTCCCCAGCACTCTAGTCCACACAATGTCCTACACACTGGGGAATAGATGATGCAACACACTGAGGAAGCAACCCCTGGGACAAAGGAAGCCAAAGCGTACCCTCCCTAGAAACTGAGAGCCGCCTGCCCAGGGTCACTGCCAATGACAACGATCCTGCCCTCTCCAGCAGCAGGGCTACCATGTACCCATACTTGCCTTTAGGAGACCTCAGGACTGGCCATGTGCCCTCCTGGGGGCTGAGGATAGGCTTGTCCCACCCAATGCCCCTGCCATCAGCACCCAAATGCTTTATCCAGGGACCTGAGGATTGATCCATCCTACCTACCACAGCCAGGGCCCAGGTGCACCATCATGGTTCTTGAGAGACCTGTCTCTCCTGCTGCCACCACTGCTGGTGCCCACGTGCACTATCACAATCTGGACATCATCCCACACTGCCCACTTATGCTGGCCAGGAGCCTGGGTATAGGCCCGCCATGCCTGCTGCCACTGGAATACACGCACACTATCCAGGGACATTAAGGACAGGCCTACCCCACCCACCATCACTACTCACATGTACCTCTTAGGGAACCCAGAAACCAGCATGCCCAACCCACTGCCACCACCGTTAGTACCTGGGCATGTGGCTCAGAGACCTGAGGGTTGGAAAACTGCCACTAGTGCCACCATCAGTGTCACAAATGCTGTCTAAGTGATCAAGGACCCACTCAGTTGGCCCACCACTGCAACTACCAGAACCTGAGCACACCACCCAGAGGCCCAAGAACAGGCCCACCCATATCTGCCACTGCTGGTGCCCATGAAGGCCACTGAGGGCCCAAGGACTAGCCACACCCAGCCCACCAATGCACCACTGGTGCCCAGGGACCAGCCCACCTAGGATTCCCATTCCCAGCAAAGCATCACCAAAGCCTCCACTAACAATCACAGCTTAAGTCACTGAGGAACTCATAGATACCAATGATACTAATTATAGCCCGATAAATCATACAGACTACAATATTGTGCCTACCCAGAATCAAAGCAAAAGCATCTTACTAAACCAACAATACGTACACATCTATAGAAAAAAGTCTTTCCCTACTAAAGCCAAACCATAAAATTGGAAGGAGAGGCTGTTACACCACATGCACAGATATCAACATAAAGACATAAGAAACATGAAAAAACAAAGAAACATGACATCTCCAAAGGAACATCATAATTATCAAGTAACAGATCCCAACATAAAGGAAATCTATAAAATGTCTAAAAAGGAATTCAAAAGAAAGACATTAGAGAAACTCAGTGAAATACAAGCAAACACAGATAAACAATACAAAGAAATCAGGGAAACAAGTCATTATTTGAATAAGAAATTCAACAGAGATAGATGCCATAAAAAGAAAAAACCAGAAATCCTAAAAGGCAATGACTGAAAGAATAAAATAAAAAATGTAATAGCTTCAACAATAGACTAGATCAAGGAGAAGAAGAAAGAATTTCTGAACTTAAAGACAGGGCTTTTGAAATAACTCAGTCAGACCAAAAATCAAAAGAAATAAAACAGAATAAGAAGAATAAAATGAAATGAAGAAAGCCTAGGTGTCCTATAGGAAACTATATAGTAACTAAAATTTGAATTTTGGGAGTTCCAGAAGGAGAAGAGATGAACAAATGCATCAAAAACTTATTTAACAAACAACAGCTGAAAGATTCCCAACTCTAAACATCCAGATACATGAAGCTCAAAGATTCCCAGATAGCTGTAATTCAACAAGGTCTTATTCAAGGCACGTTATAGTAAAACTGTCAAAAGTCAAAGACAAACAGCAAGAACAAAGCATCAAGTCACATATAAAAGAATCCCTATCAGACTACCTTGATTTCTCAGCAGAAAATTAGAGGCCTGGAGAGAAGGGAGTGATGTATTCAAAGTGCTGAAAGAGAAAAACAACAACAACTGGTAGCCAAGAATACTATACCCAGAAAAGCTATCCCTCAAAAATGAAGGGTAAAGAAATTCTTTCTCAGATGAGAAAATAATGAAATAATTCATCATCGTTATACCAGCCCTACAAAAAATGTTTAAGGTAATCCTATATCTGAAAGTGAAAGAAAGATATCTACCATCATGAAAACACAAGAAAGTATAAAACTCACTGGTAGAGCAGATATACAAATAAGAAAGAGAAAGGAGTCAAATATTATCACTATAAAAAAACCCCATCAAATTGTAAAGTAAACAACAGAAGAGGAAGAAAGAATATGTAGAACAATCAGAAAATAATTAACAATATGACAGAAATCCCCACCTATTAATAAAAACCTTGAAAGTAAATGGCTTAAATTCATCAATTAAAAGATATAAAACAGCTGAATGTATTAAAAAACAAGATGCAAGTACAAGAAACCTATTTCATCTATAAAGATACACATAGACTAAAAGAGAAGGGACGAAAAAAAATCCATGCAAATGAAAACCAAAAGTGTGAAGGAGTAGCTATGTTTATATCAGAAATTGACTTCAAGTTAAAAAACATAAAAAGGGCCAAAGTAGGTCAATATAGATGACAAAGGAATCAATTCAGTAGGAAGATACAACAATTGTAATTGTATACGCACCTAACACAAGAGCACCCAGTTATATAAAGAAAATACTATTATAGCTAAAGAGAGAGACCCCAATATAACAATAGCTGTGAACTTCAACACCCTCGTTTTAGCACTGGGCAGATCATATAGACAGAAAATCAACAAAGAAAGATCAGACTTAATCTGCACTACATACTACATGGAGTTAACATTTACAGAAAATTTTACCCAATAGTTGCAGAATAAATATTCCTCTACCGATACATGGAAAGTTCTCCAGGATAGAACACGTTAGGCCACAAAACAGGTCTCCAAAAGTTTTAAAAATTGAAACCATATCAAGTGTCTGCTCAGAACACAATGGAATTAAACTAGAAATCAATAACAACAGAAATTCTAGAAATTGTACAAATACATGGAAATTAAGCAACATGTTCCTGAGCAACCACTGGGCCAATATAGAAATTACGAAGACAATAAAAAGTTCTCTCTAAGCAAATGAAAATGAAAGCACAACACAGCAAAACCTAAAGGATACTGTAAAAACAGCGCTAAGAGGGAAACTTATAGTAATAAATGCCTACATCAAAAAGTAGAAATATTTCAAATAAACAATATAGCAATGCACCTCAAGGAACTGCAAAAGTGAGAACAAACCAAACCCAAATTAGTAGAAGAAAAGAAATGACAAAGATCAGACCAGAAATAAAACAGAGACTATCAGACAATACAAAGAATTAACAAAATGAAATGTTGGCTTTTTAAAAAGATAAAATAAATTATTACATAGAATAACAAAGAATAAAAGAGAGAAGACCAGATAAACAAAAATGGGGACCATGTAACTGATACCACAGAAATAGAAAGGATCATAAAAGACTATTATGAATTGCTGCATGTTAATAAATTTAAAAACTTAGAGGAAATGGATAAATTCCTGGACACATACAACCTACCAAGACTGAACCAGAAAGAAATAAAAAACCTGAACAGATCAATAGCAAGTAACAAGACTGGATCGGGAATAAAAAGTCTCCCAACAGAGAAAATCCAAAGACAAAATGGCTTTACTGCTTAATTAGACCCAGACCCTCTGAAAGCCATAGTAGGAGTCCCCTGGGCTTAAGCTTGTGAGCTAGAGAGGGTCCCATCAACAAGTCCATGTGCACAAAGATATGAACAATTTACCCATGGGGATGAAAGAGCCAATTATAAGAAACAATTCAGTGAAAACACCCTGGTTATCAGAGAGAGGAATTATTTTGATCACACTGTGGCATTTCCTCAAACAAAAGTGGTTCCTGGTGAGAGATGATAGTTCCTGGTACAGATAGGAAAGCAGCTTCAGTGTCTAGAACAGGACAGTGAGTCCCAGCTGGAGCAAACGTTAATTACATTAGGCAACATAACTCTCTCCAAAGACAAAATAATATCCCATAGAACAGGGGTCCCCAACCCCGGGATGGCGAACCAGTACCAGTCCCTGATTTGCTAGGAAGTGGGCCGCACAGCAGGAAGTGAGTGGCAGGTGAGTACTACTGTCTGAGCTCCTTCTCCTGTCAGAGCAGAGGTGGCATTAGATTCTTATAGGAGTGCAACCCCTATTGTGAACTGTTCATGTGAGGGATCTAGGTTGTGTGCTCCTTATAAGAATCTGACTAATGCCTGATGATCTGAGGTATAACAGTTTCATCCCGAAACCATCCCCAGAGCCCTCACCCCTGGTTCCGTGGAAAAATTGTGTTCCACAAAACCAGTCCCTGGAGGCAAAAAGACTGGGGACTACTACCATAGATGTAGCCTACCCCAGCAGAAGTAGCTATCAAACTTTGTTAATTGAACTCATAAGTATGTGTGAAATACCTCAGATATCTCCCAAGAATACTTAAGAGATGGGAACTTTGATGGCACTAAAGTTCTGTGAGAGAGGTGGGGAAAAGAGCCAGTGAATTAGAATTATTTCTGTTAATGTGACCCTATTTACAGCCACAATGGTGGATAATTTTATTTATAAACATAAATGGAGATGATTGTGCAAGAGTAAATTGGCCTTCTAAAAACTGTCTCTCAATGTTCAGTGTTGGGTCTACATCCCAGAGGCTTAGGAGACAGTGACTTGTCCAATCTTCTTTTATAGATGTTTCCCTTTTAAGCTATCATAGGGTCAGAGAAAACTCCACGTAGGATCATAAAGCAAAAACAAAAAGGCTATTGAATATGAAACCTTTTACGAACTCAATGATTTGGATCTCATAGACATATAAGATTCATGACCAAGAGATCTAAAGTGTCAGCCTATTACTTGGAGTAGTGTTGTGAGACAGAGCGAAGTAAAAATAGCAAAAAATACCACCATAACTCTGTAGATCTAATTGCCGCTTGCCTTTTTTGATTTCTCACGCCCTGTCTGCAGAGGAAGAACTCCCCAAAGAGTTGCGTTTATGTACTGAAATTGCAAAGTTACATAAAAGTCATTTCCATTTACATGTACAGATATTTACAGGCATAAAAATGGCATGACTAAAAAGTAATCTGGTGGAAAATCATGTCAAATTTAGTCCAGGGTGTATTTTAGTTCCAAATCCCAATTCAAAAACCTAATATAAGTCAAATTCTCACAATTCATTTTCAATTCTCTACACATTCACTGAGTATATTCTATGTACAAAGGCATTTTATTGGATTTTCTGATGGCCCTATGGGGTAGAACCACAGCGACAAGTGGATAGTATCAGGGGTAGGTTTTGACTTATTATGACTTTCTACTAAGCAGAAAGAACTGCACAGGTTTTGATTAGGCTGCCAAGTAGAAATATTCTGACATAAGCTGGTTATGTTGTAGAGAATTAAACAAAGAGTGCCCCACTGGGCCACATGGACCTTCGCATCCCATCCAAAATTTATTACAGAGTTAAGGGATAGACCCTGCCTTAAAAGGGCTTACAATCCAGGAAATGGATGATGATCATTATCACTGTCAACCAGTTAGCTGCCTTCTATATTTGAAGCCAGCATTTCACAAGCAGCATTGCTTAAAGAGCAATATCTCTAATAGAGGTTCATGGTTCCTTGAAAACAAAATATTACATGGTCAAATAAGTTTCAAGACCACTATATTACTATAGTTCTTCCTAGTTGCCTTCTAAACACTCATAATGTACATAAGCTAATTATGAGCTCTGAGACACTTTAAAAAAAAAAACTTCATTCATTTACTCAACGAGTATATAATGGACATGCACTATGTTCCAAGTACTGCATTAGGTGACAAAGATAAATTCTAGCTGGAGAAAATAACATATACATGATAACATTATAAAGTGATGCATACTATATAACAGAAACATATACATTGTGCATTGAATAGGGAGCAACAGACTTTTTTTAAAACACAGTGCTTATTTGTTCTGAGAACCCATTAATGCAGAACACATTTGGGAATTTATATCTGGTGATATAAATAATTTTCTGACTCTGCCCCCTCCTACCAACTTGAGAAGCTGATAGCGAAATTAAAAATCCAAGATATATTTACATGAATAACAACATGAGTTCCTACATTGTAAGTGCCAAAAAACCCACACACATACACACACAAATCCTACAGGGACTGATATTCAGAGAAAGGTTAATGACTAAGAGTAGAGATATCCAGGGAAAATATAACGGTGTGGCAGGGCTTCAGGTGGATTTTGAAGAAATCCCCTTCACTTATAATGTAAGACCTCATGTTATTTTGCTGCAGAAGGAGCAAAAACATGAAATGTTCAGGAACAATAAATAATCCATTTAATTAGCATTTGTGCAGGAAAATAATGGAAATACAATTATGGGAAAGGGGACATAATGTGAATGTATTTAAATGACCAACAAATACGAGGACAGCACTGTCTTTGTAGTGATATAAAGACATTAAAGCATTTGGAAGAAGCGGGTAGGGAGGAGGTATAGGTATATCTTATGAGAGTTGGTAAAATGGCATAACTGAGGAATTGGTAAGAAGTGCATTCAAGGTAAGAAGACCTTTTATGAATTAATAAAAGTCCGAGTCTTAAGTGGTTACTAATCTTAAGTAATCTACCCAGTCCAAATTTCTTCATATGGTATCTTCATTGGTATCTGAAAGTATTTTATTAAGTTTTTTTTAATATATCTGCTAGCTATGTCCTTTGGAATATAAGATTCAAGAGGGTAGAGAGCTTGTCCACAACAAAGGCTGGCCCTGAATAAATATCTGTTGAATGAATCAGTGAATCTTTTTATGGCTTTTCCTTTAAAAGGACAAAGGGGAAAGTGTCCTCATTTACAATGGTCTGATGTGAAGCTCAACGTGGCAGAGTGAATTCATTGTCTTCTGAGCACACTGCCTGGGCATTTACTTAGACATGGGCTTTTGTATGAATAGCAAATACAAGCCATCCTGGTGAAACAGTCTTGCATAGTAAAGGAAAAGTGGGGTGAGAATAAAGAAGCCTGAACTCTGGACCTGCATTTATTACAAACCTGACAAGCATTTAGTCCCTTCAGACCTTAATTTCATCATTAAAAGATAATTTTCAAGTCACTACTAGCCACAAAACTTTGCAATTCCAACAAAGGGAACGTCATCTATGTGGCTGCAGTGGTTTCTGATTCTCCAGGATTTTGTAAGCTATACAGTCATATTCTACCACATTTAAAAAGCAAAAGTAAACAGTGTTTCTTATACTTGAACAGCTTCTCTTGCCCCAGGATAATTCAAGCTGGTCTATTTTAGAAACTAGAATTTATACATTTATAAATTCCCTTTTATCCTATTTGAAAGATGAGGCCAACTTTGTAATTATTCGGAATCATAGATTTTTAGATCTGAGAGGAACTTTAGAAATCATCTAACCCCAGTAATTTAGAATTGAAGAAACAGAGGCACAGAGAAGCCAGAAACAAATTAAAGAGGAGGCAGGTATGGGATCACAAAGCTTTTGTGAGCCATATTAAAGAATTTGGACTTCATCCTATGTAAAATGGGAAAGGTTTTAAGAGGTGATTAACTGAATCAGATCTGTGTTTTTGGAAGATCCCTCTAGGACAGGCTTATATAGTTAATGAGTGGCAGCCATAACAAGAGCAACATTTCTAGACCCCAGGTTTAAAATTAGTCTATGGACTCAACGTCCAGACGAGTCTCAGAGGCAGTGAGCACTCAGGCATGACACTCCCTTTCCTGCCACATTATACCTAGGATGTCACTGGTGCTGTTTTGTTTTTTAAAGTATAGTGTATTTCCAAAGCTACATTTATCTTGATTATATCCTGTAAAAAGATTATATTAGTATGTTAATGAACACTAATGCCTTCTTGATCACCCAATAAAATCTTGAAGTCATGCAGCTCAATTGCAAAGACTCCACATATTGAAAAATAATACAGATCAATATGGGTTATTGCTAAGTCTTGACTCACCAGCTGTGAAATACTGGCTGGCAAAGTTGGCAAAGATATCAATAAAATAATTCACAAACTAGGATAAAGACTAAGTTCTAAGAAATGTAATTCTGGAAAGAGATTTGAGAGTAACATTTGGGAAGATAAGAATTTTTTTAAATATAAAATTTCTAAGTTTAAGTAGGCTGCTCAGTGAAATACCAGTAAAGAATAAATTAAAATATCATTTACAAATAAGCTAACACTGAAAGGAACTGCCAGCTATCATATGCTTTAAAGTCAGTGGCATTAATGAGTTTGTTTACCATATATTAATTTCTATGTATTAAAAACTGTATTCATCTGAATGTATGATTGAAGGATAAGACTGAAACATATGATTTTCTTGACATCTCAAAATAATGGCCACAAATTTGCTTCATTCATTTTGTAATTTCATTCATTGTAAATTGTATGGTACATTCCTCAAAAAGAGTGAAAGCTCTGGCATTATATCAGCTTTCTTGCTAGTCTTGATAGAATATATTATTCTTAGCTTTGGGATTCCTGAATTAAAAAAAATAGAGACATGCACTAGGAAAATCTCAGACAGGGTTGAGAGTGTATCATAAATAACACACATGGAGAAAAATGAGAGAATGTGGAATGTGGGGAACAAAGGCATGTGTAGATTTGTCCATATAATAGTTTCTGACTTCCTACTATGTCCAAGGTACTATAATAACTTAGATACCAACAGCATAGCCTGAATGAAACAGATGCAGTATCTGTCTTTGCAGAGCTTAGGATCTGACAAAAGAGACAACTAGTAATTTTAAAAAATGGAATGGGAGTTTGAGAAGGACAGCGCCATCTGGAAAGCAAAGTGAGGGCTCCAAACCCAGTCTTACAAACAGGGAGAAATTAACATCTAAGCATAGGACTAAAGGAAAAGTAGCCAGGTGAGATGCAATAAAAGAGCATTTCAAACAAGGAGACTATATGCGAAGAATGTTGGAAATTAAGAGAATTTGGTATGCTTGAAGGATAGCAAAGTACTCAATGCACCTAATGAAGTACGCAGGAGCTGCATTTGTGTGGAGGTCTTACACACTATATGAGAGTTTGACATTATCATATAATCAATGGTAATCACTGAAGTTTTTTAAATTATTCTAAAACATGTCATATATACACATGCTGTAAAATGTAAAAGATGCAGTAGAGTGTACCATGAAAGTAAATCTGAGTCATAGTCACTCAGTTCTCCCACTCCTAATCCCTGAGACAACCACTGGTATCAATTTCTTCTGCAATTTCCAGACATATTCTATGCCTATTTAAGCATACACATAGGGGCATATGTGTTTGTGCTTTTCCTCTGAAGGGTGTTCAGCAGGGACATGAGATGTTATTATTGCTAAACAATATCTTTATAAATGCATGGTAGAGGATAAATTAGAGAAGAGTAAAACTGGAAGCTAGGAGGAAGCTCACTTGATACTAGTTTCAGTTCTTGTAACTATGACTGCAGAACATGAAAGGAGTGAGGCAGATTAAAAAAAATACATGGGATCTAATATTGCTTGCACTCTGGCACTGACTGGATGTCTGAAGATTAGGGAGGGATGCTCTCAAAGATAATATCCTTCTTTTTTAACTAAACAACTGGGTGGGTCCATAGTGTAGGGAACTGGAGGACTGCAATTGAGCTACAGAGAAGCATAGTTTTAAACAGGTTGAATTTGAGATGCTTATGACACATCCAGATAAAAATGTCCCAGAGGCAGTGAGATATGTGGGTCTAGAGCTTACTCAGGAAACAGCACTGGGCTAGAGATCAAGATTTGAGAGTCATAGGCACAAAGAATGTAATTAAAGCCATGGTGTTAGACAGTATCACACAGGTAGAGGATGTAGAATGAGCAGAAAACAATTAAAATGGATACCTGGGGGACTTGGACATTTAAGTGACAAGTAAAGAAAGCAGGTGGAGAAAAATTGCTCAGAGAGGTAGCAGCAAAACTAGAGGAGTGTTGGAGAGACAAATGTCAAAACGGTAGGCAGTCATCACCTTTTGAACACACCTATATTTGGAAAAATCTTTGTTTCTTCAAGAAAGGAAACTCAAATTTTCAGTGTCCTTAGAAACTAGTGACCTGGTACTACCAAATGGGAGCACTCATGCAAAAATTCAATCCAGAAGATAACTTTATAACCTTGCAGGTTGCAAAATTTAGCAAGCATAATAGAGAAGGCATATCAGCATTTAGCATGGTCGCCATGGCATTCACTTCTGGAGTCCAGTCTTGGATGGCATCAGTGAACGTTCACAACATTTATGTGAGTTGTGGTGTTGATACCAAAAGGTAGAGGTAGTGGGATTTGTACCAAGATGTAATAGGTATTTTCTTGGCTGAATATCATCTTAACCTGTCTTCCAGTCCTCCCACATGCATTGTGAGCTACCTAACGTCCTTCAACATATTCCTTTTCTGCTTAAAACGTCAGAGTGGATTCTGTTGTTTGCAATTCAAAACCCTGATCAATACAGTGTAGTATCATGAAGACAAGGTAAATAAGTGTTGGAAGAAGGGAGAGGTCGATAGAATTAATTGCTGCCTAGAAGCCAAGCAAAATACAGATGGAAAGTTGTCTGATTTAACAATAGAGAAGTTATCAGTGACCTTGGTGAGAGTAGTACGGAGGGGATATGTGATGACAAGTCTAGATTGAAGTGGGTTAAGGAGAAAGTCTGAGATGAAGAAGTGAAGACTGTGAGAAAAAATCATTACATTAAGAGATTCAGCTATAAAGGGGAAACGGCAATAATACAAAAACTAGAAGGGATGTAGAGTTAAGGGAGAGATTAAGCATAATTAAATGCTGATGGGAAGGAGCAAACAGAGAGAACGAAATTGAAAACTGAGTTTGAAGATATAATAGATGAAGCAAATTTCCTCTGAAGACAGGAAGAGATGAGATTTAGTATTCACACGTACCTATTACTCCCGGGAGGAGAGGTTTCTATTCCACTGAAACTAGGGAGAAGGAAGAAAGGGTGGAAGTAAGGCATGCTGGCTTATGAAATTGGAGCAGGAGGATGAAGAAGTTACTGTCTGTTTCTGTTTCATTGGTAAGGAAGTCATCTGTCAGGAATAAGAGAACTGGTAGAGTCAAAGGCTTCAGAGAATGGTGAAGGTTTACAATCATCATTGTAGGAAATGAGCGAAAACTCTGCTGGGATGCACAGTAGAATTACCAAGCGGAGTACAGGACTCAAAGCATGAACACACAGCTGTGTGAATCCACCACCTGACATTTTTATAACACTTTGCTTTGTACAGTGCATGTTCATATGCATTGTATGTTAATTCTCACAATCATCCTGTGACCTGGGGAGAACAGGCAGTAACCCCTTTTCACAGCCACAGAACCTTTGTGAAGTTGAGACGTTTCCCAAATGCCTGCTTTAAGTTAGTGTCTGGTAAATCCAGCATAGAATCACTAATTATTAGCCACTGTCCTTCCACAAGCTGGTCCCTATCTTTGCAGTTTAGTCTACTAACACTCCTGGATATAAGCCTCCTGTTGTAGAAAATTTCCAGAACATGTCTTGCCCTTTCCCTTTGCTTACTCTTCTCCGCCAATCTAAATTGGAGTCACATCTCAAAGCCCAGATGAAGTCTCAATTCCTACATAGTATCTTCCCTAACCTCTGGCCACAGGGATTCCATCTGTCTCTACTTCTGCACTTTTTGTCTGTGCTTATTCATGGGTAGTTAGTAGGTATCTTGGCTGAATCCAACTTGCTTGAAATTAAAGAACAGACAGTCTCATTTAAATGATTGTCTTGTCATGCTGGATTTGAAAATTCATCAAGTTGAATAGCAGCATTCTTTCCAAGAAGGTGGATTATTATTTTTAAAAATTAGAAACTAATTTAGTAAATATATATATATTTTGTCAGAAAGCATGGATTGCAGTCATAAAATTACCCAAATTGTTACCCATCCAGAGTTGCTCGATTAACCTGAACATTACATCAGTGTTTTCATGAAAGATACAGAGCCACTCCAATTTCCAATTGCTTGCTTGTACATAAATCACTGACTGGATTGCATTGTTAGTTTTGACAATCTTAATCAATGTTTAATGTTGATTAGGAAGTAGGACCTTATAACAACTCAGTATACACAAACATATATGTTCCACAATTTAAGTCCCATTTCTCCACCACTACATTTCCTCTTGAAGATATGAACAATTTTTTAAAAATCTATTTGGGAATACATTCTTCATATTAAAGAAAAATTACTTGGAGGAAATTTAAAAATGTAATTAAAGCTGTTTTTTGAATTTAAAGTAAAAATGAAAGTCAAATGTATTATTAAAATCCCAGGGATCTATTTTTATATCATACCAATGAACAAGACACACAATTCAGAACCATAATGCCCGCCTCTTCACCAATGCTTCACACTCATTAAAGCCAGCACCAATTTCCTAACTGTCTCTTGTGTCAAAACACATGGGGCTCTGTTTTCTGTGGAATAATAATTGACTCAAAGAAGCCAGGTCTTTCTCCATCACAAAACTCAAATATCTCCCTGTTCTCTCTCACATTCATTTAACTTGTACTTACCTGCTTCCCCCAAATCGCAGTTATTGTTGTTGTCCCCTAAAAACTTATTCTTATTTCTATTCATTATATTAATAATGAAGCTAACATTTACTACAATGTATGTTGCTTTGACAATGTCATTTCATTGTTTTTCCCACAGCATCAAGTTTTCACAACAGATCTCAAATATGATGTCAGCACTATTTAATCAAAGCTAAACTTATTTTCTTTGTGCAATTCTTTTTTTTTAAGAACCAAATCCATTTTATTTATTTTTATTTTATTTATTTTTTTATTGTCGTAAACTTTTCTTTTAGATGAGATAAGAAATTTCTTTTATTGTCTTAAATATTTATTCATTGGATAGTCATACATATCCATGTCAATATACATATATACACCATTTCTCTTACTATGTTATATGGATCCTTTATGTCTTTTCTTATATTTTGTCTACTTTATTTGCATATCTAGTCATCCTATTTCCAGCAGTTTTTGACTAGTTTTGTTTTTTTTTTAACGTTGAAACACTGTATACGTTTTAATCATGAGCAGTAATACTTTTAAGAGCTTCTTAAAAGCTTTTTTGTTGTTGTTGTTGGCATAACCCTTTTTTATTTATTTTTATTTATTTTATTTTATTTTATTTATTATTATTATTATACTTTAAGTTTTAGGGTACATGTGCACAATGTGCAGGTTAGTTACATATGTATACATGCTCCATGCTGGTGCGCTGCACCCATTAACTCGTCATCTAGCATTAGGTATATTGCCCAATGCTATCCCTCCCCTCTCCGCCCACCCCACAACAGTCCCCAGACTGTGATGTTCCCCTCCCTGTGTCCATGTGTTCTCACTGTTCAACTCCCACCTATGGGTGAGAATATGCGGTGTTTGGTTTTTTGTTCTTGCGATAGTTTACTGAGAATGATGATTTCCAATTTCATCCATGTCCCTACAAAGGACATGAACTCATCATTTTTTATGGCTGCATGGTATTCCATGGTGTATATGTGCCACATTTTCTTAATCCAGTCTATCATTGTTGGACATTTGGGTTGGTTCCAAGTCTCTGCTATTGTGAATAATGCCGCAATAAACATACGTGTGCATGTGTCTTTATAGCAGCATGATTTATAGTCCTTTGGGTATATACCCAGTAATGGGATGGCTGGGTCAAATGCTATTTCTAGTTCTAGATCCCTGAGGAATCGCCACACTGACTTCCACAATGATTGAACTAGTTTACAGTCCCACCAACAGTGTAAAAGTGTTCCTATTTCTCCACATCCTCTCCAGCACCTGTTGTTTCTTGACTTTTTAAAGATTGCCATTCTAACTGGTGTGAGATGATATCTCATTGTGGTTTTGATTTGCATTTCTCTGATGGCCAGAGATGGTGAGCATTTTTTCATGTGTTTTTTGGCTGCATAAATGTCTTCTTTTGAGAAGTGTCTGTTCATGTCCTTTGCCCACTTTTTGATGGGGTTTTTTGTTTTTTTCTTGTAAATTTGTTTGAGTTCATTGTAGATTCTGGGTATTAGCCCTTTGTCAGATGAGTAGGTTGTGAAAATTTTCTCCCATTTTGTGGGTTGCCTGTTCACTCTGATGGTGGTTACTTTTGCTGTGCAGAAGCTCTTTAGTTGAATTAGATCCCATTTGTCAATTTTGGCTTTTGTTGCCATTGCTTTTGGTGTTTTAGACATGAAGTCCTTGCCCATGCCTATGTCCTGAATGGTATTGCCTAGGTTTTCTTCTAGGGTTTTTATTGTTTTAGGTCTAACATTTAAGTCTTTAATCCATCTTGAATTGATTTTTGTATAAGGTGTAAGGAAGGGATCCAGTTTCAGCTTTTTACATATGGCTACCCAGTTTCCCCAGCACCATTTATTAAATAGGGAATCCTTTCCCCATTTCTTGTTTTTGTCAGGTTTGTCAAAGATCAGATAGTTGCAGATATGCGGTGTTATTTCTGAGGGCTCTGTTCCGTTCCATTGATCTATATCTCTGTTTTGGTACCAGTACCATGCTGTTTTGGTTACTGCAGCCTTGTAGTATAGTTGGAAGTCAGGTAGTGTGATGCCTCCAGCTTTGTTCTTTTGGCTTAGGATTGACATGGCAATGCAGGCTCTTTTTTGGTTCCATATGAACTTTAAAGTAGTTTTTTCCAATTCTTTGAAGAAAGTCATAGGTAGTTTGATGGGGATGACATTGAATCTATAAATTACCTTGGGCAGTATGGCCATTTTCATGATATTGATTCTTCCTACCCGTGAGGATGGAATGTTCCTCCATTTGTTTGTATCCTCTTTTATTTCATTGAGTAGTGGTTTGTAGTTCTCCTTGAAGAGGTCCTTCACGTCCCTTGTAAGCTGGATTCCTAGGTATTTTATTCTCTTTGAAGCAATTGTGAACGGGAGTTCACTCATGATTTGGCTCTCTGTTTGCCTGTTATTGGTGTATAAGAATGCTTGTGATTTTTGCACATTGATTTTGTATCCTGAGACTTTGCTGAAGTTGCTTATCAGCTTAAGGAGATTTTGGGCTGAGACAATGGGGTTTTCTAGATATACTATCATGTCGTCTGCAAACAGGGACAATTTGACTTCCTCTTTTCCTGATTGAATACCCTTTATTTCCTTCTCCTGCCTAACTGCCCTGGCCAGAAACTCCAACACTATGTTGAATAGGAGTGGTGAGAGAGGGCATCCCTGTCTTGTGCCAGTTTTCAAAGGGAATGCTTCCAGTTTTTGCCCATTCAGTATGATATTGGCTGTGGGTTTGTCATAGATAGCTCTTATTATTTTGAGATACGTCCCATCAATACCTAATTTATTGAGAGTTTTTAGCATGAAGGGTTGCTGAATTTTGTCAAAGGCCTTTTCTGCATCTATTGAGATAATCATGTGGTTTTTGTCTTTGGTTCTGTTTATATGCTGGATTACATTTATTGATTTGCGTATGTTGAAACAGCCTTGCATCCCAGGGATGAAGCCCACTTGATCATGGTGGATAAGCTTTTTGATGTGCTGCTGGATTGGGTTTGCCAGTATTTTATTGAGAATTTTTGCATCAATGTTCATTAAGGATATTGGTGTAAAATTCTCTTTTTTGGTTGTGTCTCTGCCAGGCTTTGGTATCAGGATGATGCTGGCCTCATAAAATGAGTTAGGGAGGATTCCCTCTTTTTCTATTGATTGGAATAGTTTCAGAAGGAATGGTACCAGTTCCTCCTTGTATCTCTGGTAGAATTCAGCTGTGAATCCATCTGGTCCTGGACTCTTTGGTTGGTAAGCTATTGATTATTGCCACAATTTCAGAGCCTGTTATTGGTCTATTCAGAGATTCAACTTCTTCCTGGTTTAGTCTTGGGAGACTGCATGTGTCGAGGAATTTATCCATTTCTTCTAGATTTTCTAGTTTATTTGCATAGACGTGTTTGTAGTATTCTCTGATGGTAGTTTGTATTTCTGTGGGATTGGTGGTGATATTCCCTTTAACATTTTTTATTGCGTCTATTTGATTCTTCTCTCTTTTTTCTTTATTAGTCTTGCTAGTGGTCTATCAATTTTGTTGATCCTTTCAAAAAACCAGCTCCTGGATTCGTTAATTTTTTGAAGGGTTTTTTGTGTCTCTATTTCCTTCAGTTCTGCTCTGATTTTAGTTATTTCTTGCCTTCTGCTAGCTTTTGAATGTGTTTGCTCTTGCTTTTCTAGTTCTTTTAATTGTGATGTTAGGGTGCCAATTTTGGATCTTTCCTGCTTTCTCTTGTGGGCAATTAGTGTTATAAATTTCCCTCTACACACTGCTTTGAATGTGTCCCAGAGATTCTGGTATGTTGTGTCTTTGTTCTCGTTGGTTTCAAAGAACATCTTTATTTCTGCCTTCATTTCGTTATGTACCCACTAGTCATTCCGGAGCAGGTTGTTCAGTTTCCATGTAGTTGAGTGGTTTTGAGTGAGATTCTTAATCCTGAGTTCTAGTTTGATTGCACTGTGGTCTGAGAGATAGTTTGTTATAATTTCTGTTCTTTTACATTTGCTGAGGAGTGCTTTACTTCCAACTATGTGGTCAGTTTTGGGATAGGTGTGGTGTGGTGCTGAAAAAAATGTATATTCTGTTGATTTGGGGTGGAGAGTTCTGTAGATGTCTACCAGGTCTGCTTGGTGCAGAGCTGAGTTCAATTCCTGGGTATCCTTGTTGACTTTCTGTCTCGTTGATCTGTCTAATGTTGACAGTGAGGTGTTAAAGTCTCCCATTATTATTGTGTGGGAGTCTAAGTCTCTTTGTAGGTCACTCAGGACTTGCTTTATGAATCTGGGTGCTCCTGTATTGGATGCATATATATTTAGGATAGTTAGTTCTTCTTGTTGAATTGATCCCTTTACCATTAAGTAATGGCCTTGTCTCTTTTGATCTTTGTTGGTTTAAAGTCTGTTTTATCAGAGACTAGGATTGCAACCCCTGCCTTTTTTTGTTTTCCATTTGCTTGGTAGATCTTCCTCCATCCTTTTATTTTGAGCCTATGTGTGTCTCTGCACGTGAGATGGGTTTCCTGAATACAGCACACTGATGGGTCTTGACTCTTTATCCAATTTGCCAGTCTGTGTCTTTTAATTGCAGCATTTAGTCCATTGACATTTAAAGTTAATATTGTTATGTGTGAATTTGATCCAGTCATTATGATATTAGCTGGTTATTTTGCTCGCTAGTTGATGCAGTTTCTTCCTAGTCTCGATGGTCTTTACATTTTGGCATGATTTTGCAGCAGGTGGTACTGGTTGTTCCTTTCCAATGTTTAGCGCTTCCTTCAGGAGCTCTTTTATGGCAGCCCTGGTGGTGATAAAATCTCTCAGCAACTGCTTGTCTGTAAAGGATTTTATTTCTCCTTCACTTATGAAGCTTAGTTTTGCTGGATATGAAATTCTAGGTTGAAAATTCTTTTCTTTAAGAATGTTGAATATTGGCCCCCACTCTCTTCTGGCTTGTAGAGTTTCTGCGGAGAGATCTGCTGTTAGTCTGATGGGCTTCCCTTTGAGGGTAACCCGACCTTTCTCTCTGGCTGCCCTTAACATTTTTTCCTTCATTTCAACTTTGGTGAATCCGACAATTATGTGTCTTGGTGTTGCTCTTCTCGAGAAGTATCTTTGTGGCGTTCTCTATATTTCCTGAATCTGAATGTTGGCCTGCCTTGATAGATTGGGGAAGTTCTCCTGGATAATATCCTGCAGAGTGTTTTCCAACTTGGTTCCATTCTCTCCATTACTTTCAGGTACACCAATCAGACATAGATTTGGTCTTTTCACATAGTCCCATATTTCTTGGAGGCTTTGCTCGTTTCTTTTTATTCTTTTTCTCTAAACTTCCCTTCTCGCTTCATTTCATTCATTTCATCTTCCATCGCTGATACCCTTTCTTCCAGTTGATCACATCGGCTCCTGAGGCGTCTGCATTCTTCACGTAGTTCTCGAGCCTTGGTTTTCAGCTCCATCAGCTCCTCTAAGCACTTCTCTGTATTGGTTATTCCAGTTATACATTCTTCTAAATTTTTTTCAAAGTTTTCAACTTCTTTGCCTTTGGTTTGAATGTCCTCCCGTAGCTCGGAGTAATTTGATCGTCTGAAGCCTTCTTCTCTCAGCTCGTCAAAGTCATTCTCCCTCCAGCTTTATTCCGTTGCTGTTGAGGAACTGCGTTCCTTTGGAGGAGGAGAGGCGCTCTGCTTTTTAGAGTTTCCAGTTTTTCTGTTCTGTTTTTTCCCCATCTTTGTGGTTTTATCTACTTTTGGTCTTTGATGATGGTGATGTACAGATAGGTTTTTGGTGTGGATGTCCTTTCTGTTTGTTAGTTTTCCTTCTAACAGACAGGACCCTCAGCTGCAGGTCTGTTGGAGTACCCGGCCGTGTGAGGTGTCAGTCTGCCCCTGCTGGGGGGTGCCTCCCAGTTAGTCTGCTCGGGGGTCAGGGGTCAGGGACCCACTTGAGGAGGCAGTCTGTCCGTTCTCAGATCTCCAGCTGCGTGCTGGGAGCGCCACTGCTCTCTTCAAAGCTGTCAGAAGGGGACATTTAAGTCTGCAGAGGTTACTGCTGTCTTTTTGTTTGTCTGTGCCCTGCCCCCAGAGGTGGAGCCTACAGAGGCAGGCAGGCCTCCTTGAGCTGTGGTGGGCTCCACCCAGTTCTAGCTTCCCTGCTGCTTTGTTTACCTAAGCAAGCCTGGGCAATGGTGGGCGCCCCTCCCCGAGCCCTTGCAGTTTGATCTCAGACTGCTATGCTAGCAATCAGCGAGACTCCACGGGCATAGGACCCTCCGAGCCAAGTGGGGGATATAATCTCCTGGTGCACCATTTTTTAAGCCCGTCGGAAATGCGCAGTATTCGGGTGGGAGTGACCCGATTTTCCAGGTGCTGTCTGTCACCACTTTCTTTGACTAGGAAAGGGAACTCCCTGACCCCTTGCGCTTCCCGAGTGAGGCAATGCCGCGCCCTGCTTTGGCTCGCCCATGGTGCGCGCACCCACTGACCTGCGCCCACTGTCTGGCACTCCCTAGTGAGATGAACCCGGTACCTCAGGTGGAAATGCAGAAATCACCCGTCTTCTGTGTCCCTCACGCTGGGAGCTGTAGACTGGAGCTGTTCCTATTCGGCCATCTTGGCTCCTCCCCCTCTTTGTGCAATTCTTATATATTTCTAGCTAAAAGGTTTTCCTGTCATTAACCAGGCCCAAGCTTCCACTTCCTATCTCCAAGCCTTTTTTTCAGATGTCTTTGGTGTTCGTGATAATCTTATTTTATACTAGAGTTAGTTCTTCTTTTTGAAAGCTAATGGATAGAGGAAGAGAAAGCAAAAGGAATGCTAAGAGTTATGTTTCACTCCAAGCAAGCAGTTGTTAATTGACTTCAGGACTTTCAACAAATATAACCAGAACATGTGAGTTGTATTTCTTAGAAGAAAAGATAAAGTTGGTATTTATAATTTAATCTCTATGCATACCTGACCTTAAACTTAATGAAGTTGCAAAAAGACTTTTTAAATCAATTAGATTTTTTAAAGCTGTTAATCATGTGGTGTCTTATATGTTACTTCAAATGGATTCCTTTCCAGGGAGGCAATTTATTATTTTTAATAATTTGCATTTCTGTAATGAAAAATGATAATAAATGGCTGCATCACATAAGATACCTGCAACTAATTTGTTTAAAATGAATTGCTTAATTCTAAGCAATTTCTCTCTAATATTAATAAACAACTTCATGCAATGTAATTATCAAGTATTTTAACCTGCTATTTATTTACAGAAAAATAACATGAATCCCCATAGTAAAATTTAAAGACTTGTCATATAATTTTCAAAATGAGAACAAATTACACATATTCTATATTGAAGCACTGGTTAGAATATTATTCAGACCAGAAAAGAACTTGGCATAAAGCAGTTTGGTTCTGGAAATAACCCATGGTAACTTAGTTACTGAAGTAGCTACAGATTTCATTATAATTGGCTTCAAATATATGACAATATCATTATACAGACTCTAAGAGTCCTGTTGTCTCTAGTTTCCAGTAAATTAATATTTTAGTTCCAAAAATAAAATAATATTGAATGAATTAACTGATACACTGACAATAATAAATACATGTGAAGTATACAAGCTTAATGACAAACTTTTACTGACTTATTTTTCTGGAAGACATTTTCACATTTTTAATCGTACTTAATCTTTGCTTCCCTAACAACCTCATAAGAAAAATGTCCCCCATTTTAATAGACGAGGAGGCTGAGGCTCTGAGATGTTAAACAATTTTCGCAAGTTCCCACAGTTAGTAAACAGCAGAGGTAAGAATTCAAGTCTTCTTGGGCAATGTTCTTTCCATACATCAGCAATGCGCTTGTTTGTCACAGATAGACAGATTTTGATTTGATCCATACAAATCCTTTACATTCATCTGCGTGTTAAATCTCCAAATTTGGCATTTTTAAAAAATAATTATAGTTGGCTGCACACATAAATCTGCAAAGTGTGTATTCACATACTAGAATGACTATGTACAAGGAATGTGTCCAAAATAAGTTATTTGCTCTTATTTACTTTTCAGTATCCACACAACTGACTAGTAAAAGAGTAACAATTATAAATACTTGTTTAACATTGGTGGCTAGTAAATGTTTCCATCACACTACGAAGAAATGCAAAGGTAAGCAATCTGTTAAGAATAGTGGGCCAAACAAAACTCAAAGTCATACCAGAAATTCAATAATATTACAGGCTGTGGATACAAATTTTCCTGGCTGCTAATAAATCTGAGGTTGCCCTTCAAAGTCTCCCCAATTACTTCTGAGTGCACTCGGTGTTCCTATGAGTTCAGGAATAAATCAACACTTACATACTGCCACTCCCCTCTACCCTGCCCCTGGCCATCCTCTGGGCCTTTTCCATGTACTCTGAGTCTCTGCCAAAGCTAGTACATATTTCTATGTCCCTATTGTCCCTTTGAAAGGAGATCTCGTCCACAAAGCTATTATATAAAATGCTTTAGCTACATTTTATATAATACAAAGCATCTTCAGTCTTCAGAAGCATATTCAGAAAGACTCAAAAATGAAAAAATAAAAGTTTTTATACCTAATTTTGTTTTGTTCTTTAGCCCATAGGTTCTTCAGTAGCCTTGTTTCTGTACTAAATGTAAGAGTTTTTCCTCTTCCCCATCATCATATTATATCTCTCTCACCATAGAGTGTTGAAACCAACCCACAGGGCCAGGCAGCCCTTATGTCCCCATACATACATTTCTCTTCACCCTTGGCATAAGCCCTCAAGAGAATCAAATAGTAACAATAGATACTTGGGGTGGCAGTCATACTCACATACAACCATGCTCCTTTTCTTTATTTAGTTTAAACCAATTATTCTCAACTGAGAGCAATTTTGCTCTTCAGAGTAAATTTGGCAATGTCTACAAACATTTTTGGTTGTCACAGCTAGGAATGTGGGCTGGCACAGGTGTACTACTGGCATCTAGTGGGTAGAGATCAGGGATGCTGCTAAACATCCTACAATGCACAGGACAGCCCCACAGAACAAAGAATTATCTAGTACAAAACGTCAACAGTGTGAGGTTGAGAAACCCTGGTTAAAACAAAAAACACTCTGATACACAGGAATATATGATCGGAGATCGAATAATTCATCTTTCTAGGCAGGAACACATAAACTAAAGACTCAAAAATAATTTTTAAAAATCCATCCTTAGAAAGACATCAATGTAAAACTAGCCTAAAAATAGTCCTTCTCCCACTTTAATGTGCATAAGAATTGCCTGGGAAGCTTGTAAAAATTTGAGACCCAACCCTGACCTACTCAAGCAATATTAAGGTTGTGTCCAGGAATGTGCATTTTTCATAAGATCCTCAGGTGGTTTTGATGCAGCCTGAAACACATTCTAAGATACAGTGTTAGAAAACCAAATTTTATACTGATGAAAATAAGCTGAGAACGTAAACACTAAAATTCCTCTCCAGTTGAGCATATAGCTGAAAAGAATTAGATAGCCACTAAATTATTAAGATGATAAATTAATAAACTCTACACCAAAAACCTGCTCTCTTCAAATTTTGTATGCACAGAAATCACCTGGAGATCTTGTTAACATGCAGGTTCTGATTCAGAAGGACTGAGATAAAGTATAAGATTCTGCATTTTTAACAAGCTCCTAGATGGTGGCCCATGTTGCTGGTCTTTGGATCACATGTTGGACCTCAAACACTGAGGTCTTGAAAAAAAAAAAACTGCCAAAGGAGTATAAAAACAGGATTACTTATTTTTAACAAAGCACAAAAACATCAATCACAATTCTCATTTCCTCCTGCATCTGGAAAATGGGCAGAGATTTTAGAATGTCACCTCTGCTAGTAAGTCAACTCCATGAAGGCAGCGGTTTAGTAGGAGGGTTTTGCTCATGACTATATGACCAACACCTATTATATGCATGGTACATAGTGTGTGCTTAACAAATACTGTGAATAAATGAATGCTGAATAAAGAGTCTCTATATTATTTCTGATGATAGAAGCCAATCAAAAATCAAATTCCCAAGAAGAACCTATAGATCCACCTCAGAAAAAAGTGCTTGTTCCTAGTGCTATTTAACATACAGCTATATCACTAATTGATGACTTAATTTATTATTTCTTCCCTATATAGCATCCAAAGCAATCATGATCTCTAATAGACTTGATTATGAATATTTTATAGGTAAGTCATTAAGTTGAGGGGGGAAAAATCAGCTGACCATGAAAGTCATACAACTGTGGGGAGCTGTTTAAAAAGAAGAATACAGGCATACCTTGTTTTATTGCAGTTCACTTCAACTGCCTTTTACAGATAATGTGCTTTTTATGAACTGAAGGTTTGTGACAACCCTACATTGACCAAGTCTGCCAGCACCATTTTTCCAACAGCAGGTGCTTGTTTCATGTCTCCATGTCACGTTTTGGAAATTCCCATAATATTTCAAAAATTTTCATTACTATTACATCTGTTGGGGTTATCTGTGAATAATGGTCTTGATTTTACTATTCGAATTCTCCTAAGGCACTAAGAACACTGCCCATACAAGATGGCAAACTTAATCGATAACTGTGTGTGTTCTGATGGCTCTACTGACTGGCCATTCCCATCTCGCCCCCTTTCCTCAGTCCACGCTATTCCCTGGGATACAACGATATTGAAATTAGGCCAATTAATAAGTGTTCAAGTGAGAAGAGTTGCACGTCTCTTGTTGTAAATCAAAACAGAGAAATGATGAAGCTTAGTGAGGAAGGCATGTTGAAAGTCAATACAGGCCGAAAGTTAGGCCTCTGGAGCCAGTTAGCCAAGTTGTAAATGCAAAGGAAGGAATATAAAAGTGTTACTCCACAGAACACATGAATTATAGAAAGTGAAATGGTCTTATTGATGACATGGAGAAAGTATGAGTGGTATGGATGGAAGATAAAATCAACCACAACATTCCCTTGAGCCAAAGCCTAATCAAGAGCAAGGCCTGAACCCTCTTCAATTCTAGAAGGCTGAGAGAGGTGATGAAGCTGCAGAAGAAAAGTTTAAAGCTAGCAGAAGTTGGCTCATTATGTTTAAGGAAAGAAGCCATCTCTATAGCAGAAAAGTGGAAGGTGAACCAGCAAGCGCTGATGTACAAACTGCAGTAAGTTGTTCAGAAGATCCAGCTAAGACCATTGGCCAAGTTAGCTACACTAAACAACAGGTTTTCAATCAAGACAAAATGACCTTCTATTAGAAGAAAATGCCATATAGAACTTTTACAGCTAGAGAGACAGAAGTCAATGCTGGCTTCATAGTTTCCAAGGAGAGGTTGACTCTCTTGTTAGGGGCTAACGCAGTTGTGGTGACGTTAAGTTGAAGCCATTGCTCATTGACCATTTCAAAAACCCTAGGGCCCTTAAGAATTATGCTAAAACTATTCTGCCTATGCTCTATAAATGGAACAATGAAGCCTAGATGACAGCCGCACATCTGTTTATACCACGTTTTACTAAAGATTTAAAGTCCACTGTTCAGAATAAAGAAGTATTCCTTTCAAATTATTGTGGCCCATTGACAATGTACTTAGTCACCCAAGAGCTCTGATGGCAACGCACTAGGAGATTAATGTTTTCATGGCTGCTAACACTACATCCATTCTACAGCTCATGAATCAAGGAGTCATTTAGACTTTCTAGTCTTATTACTTAAGAAATATATTTCTTAAGACTATAGCTGCCATAGATAGTGATTTCTCTCAAGAATCTGGGCAAAGTAAGTTGAAAACCTTCTGGGGAAGATTCACCATTCTAGATGACAGTAAGAAAATTTGTGATTCATTGGAAGAGGTCAAGATAACTACACTAACAAGAGTTTGGAATAAGTTGATTCCAGCCCTCATAGATGACTTTGAGTGGTTCAAGACTTCAGTAGAGGGAGTAGCTGCAGATGTAGTGGAAATAGTAAGAGTACTAGAATTAGAAATGAAGCCTGAAGATGTGACTGAATTGCTGCAATCTCATGTTAAAATTTGAGCAGATGAGAAATTGTTTCTTATGAATAAGCAAAGAAAGTAGTTTCTTGAGATGAAATCTACTCCTGGTAAAGATGCTATGAGCATTGTTGAAATGACAACCAAGAATTTAGAATATCACAAAAATTTAGTTGATAAAGCAGCAGCAGGGTTTAAGAGAACTGATTACAATTTTGAAAAAAGTTCTACTGTAGATAAGATGCTATCAAATAGCATTGCATGCTACAGAGAAATCTCTCATGAAAGGAAGAGTCAGTTGACAAATTTCATCGTTATCTTATTTTAAGAAATTTCCACAGCCATCCTAACCTTCAGCAACTATCTCCTTGATCAGTCAGCAGCCATCAACATTGAGGCAAGACCCTCCATCAGCAAAAATATTATTATGACTCTCTGAAGGCTCGGACGATTGTTAGCATTTTTTGCAGTAAAATATGTTTAAATTAAGATACATACATTTTTAAAGACATAATGACATTGCACACTTAGACTACAGTAGAGTGTAAATATAACTTTTATATGCACTGGGAGACAAAACAGTCTATATGACTTGCTTTATTGCAATATTAGCTTTATTGCAGTGGTCTGGAAACAAACCAGCAATATCTCCAAGGTATGCCTGTATATGGATAGCATTGATTGTGTCTTCAATTAGCTTTGTATGAGAAACCACGCCTAAGAAGAAATTTAGAACGGTTTCATCTTTATCAGGTTTCATTTATAAATTTCAAAATCCTCTCCTATCAAAGGAGACCTTTGCTTCAAATTTTAAAATGTCCTTTTCTCTTATTTGAATGTCTTAATGGTGTTCAAGTTTAGAAATGAATGGAAATTGTTTTGAGTCTGAGAAAGTTGAAGCACAATAGAAAGTAAATGATGAATGAGCCCAGATGAATAGCTAATGCAAGTTCAAATTTAGCTATGTCACTTAGTAGGGATTTTCAGAACTTCCATAACAAAATTCTTTAATTGAAGAAGGAATGATTCTCATGAAAAAATAAATCCATTATTTCCTCAGTATTGTAAATATGTTACACAGATGTTCCTCAAAGCCTAAAAATAATGTTTCCATATATCATATTAATCCTGAAAGCTGTTTTATGTAGCAACTTTTCCACTTGGTTGAATGGATAGATGAAGCCATTAAAAGGTCAAGTCATGACATTTGGAAACATCAGAAATACTTTTGCTCTTCTCTCTCTTTCTCTTTTAAATTTTACCTGTGATGGTTAATTTTATGTGACAACTTGACTAGGCCAGGTGGTAACCAGACATTTGGTAAAGCATTATTCTGGGTGTGTTTGTGAGGGTGTTTCTGGATGAAATTAACATTTGAATCTGTAGACTGAGTAAAGCAGATTATCCCTCCCTAACGTGGGCAGGCCTCATACAATCAATTGAAGACTTGAATAGAACAAAAAGACTGAGTAAGAGGGAAATTTCATCTGCCTGAGTCCTTGAATTAGAACGTTGGTCTTCTCCTAACCTCGGACTGGAACTTATATCATTGAGTCTCCAAATCTCGGGCCTTTGGACTCAGACTGAAACTATACCACTGGCTCTCCTGAGTCTCCAGCTTACCCACTCCAGATTTTGAGACCTGACAACCTCCATAATCATGTGAGCCAATTCCTTATAATAATAAATCTCACATATGTATATAATATACAACACACATACAAACACACACACACACACACACACACACACACATCCTGTTTGTTCTGTTTTTCTGGAGAACCCTGACTAATACAGTATCCTTAGACTTTTTTTTTTTTATTTAAGAAATTCTACCATAATATATACCACAGAGAGTGCATCATTAATGACAGTTTTGAAAGTGACAGTGTCTGCTCGAGTTCCCTAATTAATCCCATAGAGCTCAGTTCTCTAGGTTATTTCTCCTAGCTGTTAGCAAGCCTCCCATTAGATCCAGCAGGGACTTGTGTGCTGGGTTTGCAATCAGAGAATTGAGTGCATTCTGTAGCTTTCCCTTCATATCTCTTGGAGCAACTTTGTGAGGCTATCGCTCATCTTACTCTTAAAGGAATCCTTTCAGATTTCCTCTATATCTCACAGTTAATCATATGCAAATATGGTTATGTCAGGAATTCATCACTAAACAAGTTAGTTGTGAGATGGTAAGCAGCTGAAAAAAAGAGAAGAAAGGAGGCCAAAGGGGTAAAAGGAAAAAATGAAGGAAGGAAGAAAGGAAGGAAGGAAGAGAGGGAGGAAGGGAGGGAGGGGCAGAGGAAGAGAGGGGGAGGGAGGAAAGAGGAGGGAGAGAGGAAGGAAGAAAAGAAGGAAGGAAAGAGGGGAGGGAGGGAGGAAAGGAGAGAGGGAGGGAAAGAAGGAGAAAATGCTGGAGCAAAGGAGGTTGGTTACATGATTTCTCTAATGGCAATGAGCTGCTTTCTGGATGAAATACAGAATCAGAGCGAGACTCCGTCTCAAAAAAAAAAAAAAAAGAAGAAGCAGCATTCAATTTTTAAAGTAGTTAACTACGATTAAAAATGCCTTTCTAAAGAAAAATCTTATGCTACTCTTTCTTATAAAAATAACTAGATTCAATAATTAGTCTGGGCATACTGGCTCATGCCTGTGATCCTAGCACTTAAGAAGGCTGAGTGGGATGGTCACTTGAGCCCAGGAGTTTGAGACCATCCTAGGCAACAAAGCAAGACCCCATCTCTACCAAAAGTAAAATCATTAGCCGGGCATGATGGCACAGTGAGACCCTGCCTCTAAAAAATTAATTAAAAGTGGTAAAGAGAAAAAGTCCACAGAATTTGAAGACAGATGACATGAATTTGAACCCCAAATTTACTGTTTGCTGCCTGGGTAAATGATTTTGAAGGAGTCAAAATAGATTACAATAAAGCTTTCATCATCATAGGACTGTTGGAGGAAATAAGATCATATATATGACCAGCCTAGGCAACACAGTGAAACCATGTCTCTCCAAAAAAATTTAAAAATAAAAAAATAAAAATAAATTAGCCAGGCATGGTGGTGCATGCCTGTAGGCCCAGCTACTTGGGAGGCTGAGGTGGGGGGATTGCTTGAGGGCAAGAGGCTGAGGCTGCAATGAGGCATGATTGCACCACTGCACTCCAGCCTAGGCAACAGAGTGAGACCCTGCCTCAAAAACAAACAGAAACCCATGATAAGTGAAAAGCATTTTAAATGCCTCCAAAGAACCATAGTTTTGCTCACATTATTTTGTACATAGGCTAGAATTCCCTGAAATGCAGAACAAGAAAGAGGGTAGAAGAGGCATCATTGGCCAAAAGATAGCATTACAAAGACAGGAATGAGGTGGGAGAAATCAGTGTTTTTATTGATATAAACGATGAAGTTTAAAAAACAGTTACTTGAACTAGATGTCTAAGATGTCTAAATACAAAAACTTATTAGTTAATGTTTGAGGATTCCAACTCTGGCACATCACATGTGCTTAGTAAACAAATGTTTACTAAGATTCCCATCTTCAGAGTCAACTGGTATTTATTACGCACCTTATACATACCAGATATTTCATGTTGAAGTGAGTTGCTTTGCAAATTTTAGGTAGAATTCAAATCTTAGGGGAAAAAATGAGTGTTCTGTAAAAGCAATTGTGAAGATGGGGAAACTTCTAATAGTTGAGGTCCTTTTAATGTGTATGTTATTTAATCAGTGCACATACAATTTAATAAATAATGAATGTTATGAATGAACAAATTCCTTTTCTTGCACTATTCAGAATAATTTTTAAAGCCCAATAGAAATCAATTTAAAACTCAATCCCTTTTTAGCTACAAAAGTCAGTATCATGATTAGATTTTCTTATATATAATATAAACACAACTCAATAAACTCAGTGCTTGCCCTGAGTCATTCTTTAGTGATGAGTCAGCCTAATGGTGCCCATCAGTTCAGCATATCTAAGCATTTCAAACTATCAGTAAACAAATCTTTCTTAGGCTCTACATTGCCTCTATTTTAGAAGTTTGTGAGAATTCAAGGAAAATAAACAGGCTGTGATTACTAGGCACTTATAGTTGAGGGAAGTATACACAGATACATATATTGAATTCTGAATGAATAAATAACACATCTGAATTAATAAATAACACAGTATATAATAAAGTACAGTAAGGCCTCCTCGCTTAACATAGGTAGGCTCTTGGAAATGGCAACTTTAAATGAAATGGCATATAACGAATGTAACCAACTTTAACATAGGCTAATAATAGTTGTAAATAAGGGTTAAGTTCTTTCAGCATATTTCTGGTCACAGAAACATCACCAAACTTCTAACTAAAGACCAAAACACTTCTAATATTAAACATGGAAATAAACGTGAGCTATACATACATTTAAGAACCACTAAAAAAACAAGTAAGATAATTATTTACCCACTTATTTCAGTTCAGGGTTGGTGATGGCTGGAGCCTGACCGGGCAGCCCAGGGGACAAGGCAGGAACCAGCCCTGACCAGGATGTCATTCCATCATAACACCACTCACACACACCCACAGTCACTCACACTGGGGCCATTTGGATACGCCAATGAGTCTACCATATACAGCTTTGGGGTATGGAGGAAACTGGAGTATCCAGGGAAAATCCACACAGACATGGGGAAAATGTGCAAACTCCACACAGACTGTGGCCCCAGTCAGGAATATATATATTTTTTCTCATCAACATTATAATGAAACAACATTAAATGAAATGACGTTATTTGAGGATGTGTTGTATACTCCAGCTGAACAACTGGATATAAGCCAATATAAAGTGCTAATCGTTCAGTCAGATAAGATAAAAAGAGAACATGAGAAAGTAATTATATGCACACAATAAATTCATCAGGAAATCTTCACAGAGAAGATAAAAATCAAGCAGAGTCTGTAAGAATGATTAAATCATGGACTGTTAAGCCAAAAAGCTAAAGGCATGTCTGCCAGATTGTATTAGTTTTCTAGGACTGCCATAATAAAGTACCACAAACTGGGTGTCTTGCACAACAGAAACTTATTGTCTCACAGTTTTGGAGGCTAGAAGTCCAAAATCAAGGTGTTGACAGGATTGGTTCCTTCTGAGGGCTGTGAAGTACAACTTGTTCCATGCTCCTCACCTAGCTGCTGGTGCTTTGCTAGTGATTTTGGTTTTCCTTGGCTTAAAGTCACATCATCCTGATCTCTGTCTTCATGTTCACCTGATAACTTCATGTTCACATAGTGTAATTTCCCTATGTGTCTGTATCCAAATTTCTCCTTTTTATAATGAAAGTGATCATACTGGAATAGGGTGTCACCCTCCTCCAGCATGATTTTATCTCATCTTAACACATTAAATCTGCAACGTCCCTATTTCCAAATAAGGTAACATTCTCAGATGCTCATGGTTAAAATGAGAATGTAAATGTGAGGTGGGGTGTGAGGGTAACATAATTCAATTCATAACTCAGATGAATCATTATCAGCAAAAGAAATGATTATGGTAGGTGACCTGCTCAGGGCTAATGGATAAATAGCTACATGTGACCAGGTGACATACAGCCCTGGAAGCTGGGCAAAGAAGTTCAGACTTGATGTGGTGAGCAAGAAGAAGGCACTGTGAACACTCAAGTAGAATAAATGATGTTTTATGAATGTTAATCTGGAGAGTGGGTCCTGGCTGGTTAGGAGTAGGAAGAGACAAAGGAGGCAGAATGTCTAAACAGGTGACATGAAGTGAAAAATGACACCTGGAGGCAGGAATCAGAATGAAAGAGATTGAATGAATCCAAGAGAAACTAGGCTATCAGTAAGAAATTAGGTACTTGGAGGTGGGCTCAGACTATACTAAACTATTTCCCATATTCTTGTTAATTTGAAGAAATGTCTCACAAACTTACTTTAAAATTCATTAATAAGGCATCAATTACCAATTTTTATAATTATGTGTGACATGCAATCATATAAATGACTCACTTATGCAGGACTCTTCCTGTTCTTGGTATAATGTCAAAGGCTTAGATAGGAAAATCACAGTTTGGAAATCACAAAAAACTTCTTCATTGTAATGCGCTATTGGACTGACACAGCTGTCATCCCCAGCAACTATTATGCACTGAAGAAAGAAACTTACAAAATGACTCCAGAAGCCACCATCTAAAATAGAATGCCAAGATAACTCTAAAATAATACTGAATAGTGGAATGTGAGGATAGAAGATATAGTCAAAACATCAAAAGATCCCATAATTTTCAGTGTCAAGTGAAGACATGTAGCAAAAAACCAGTCTGAAAAACAGGATGTCCAACATAATTTTTGACAACTTTTATATCTTATATGTAGTGACAAAATACCAGATGAGAGGTAAAATATTTAAAAATGTAGTAAGAAATCTATAGGAGGTGAGATGGATGGATGGCGATGAATATATAATTTTTTAAAGAGAAATGTGATAAGCATGCAGTTAACAAAACACTAAAGTAGGCCAATATACTTCCAGACATTCTAGATCCCTTATAGGAAAAGCTAGACAAGCCATGCTGTTATAAAATCCTAATATTATACTATGTTTATAAATATCTGAGGTGTTGCAAAACTCACTGAAGAACAAGAAGTTATCATCTGCCTGGCTGAGATACTGGGGCAAGGAGAAAGGGTACAGAAGTTAAATGAGAAAAAGTGGGTCGGGCAGAAGAATCCCTTCTTTAGCTTCAGGTCCCTTAAGCTACTTCCTTTTTCCATCCCTTTGTAGGCAAACACCTAGAAGAACTCTCTCTCCTTTCTCCAGGTTCATTTTTTTCCCTTAGACAATATTCAATGTACTCCAAACTGGCTTGTATCACCAACTTTGTACCAAAATCACTATTGCTGTCCTCAATGTCATCTGTGAGGTTCAACGCAAAGGACATCTTTCAGTCTTCATTTTTCTTGATCTCTCAGACACATCCTACTTTCTTCTTAAAATTCTCTCTTCTCTTGGCTTCTGTGACACCACCTGCTCTTCTCTCTCCTCCTACGTTTCAGCCATGAGTTTGCTATCGCCATCACCAAATAATCTTTTCTATAAAATGCTCAAATGTTGCTCAAAACTCTCTAGACAATCCCTTCCGTCTCCTCAACTAACATTTAGATGCCAAAGAATTCCAAATTTTCTGTCTAACTTAAACTTCCCTTAATGCCAAATTGAAGTATATTCAACTAGTTACTCACCTTAGATGTCCCATAGGCACTCCAAACCCATCATGATTTTCTCACTCAATCTGTTCCCTAAGTGAGCAGCACCAACATCTGCCTATTTATTAGTCCAGAAACCTGGGAATCAACCTCTAAACCTCTCTCCTCATCATCTACTACCACCAATTAATCAAGACTGGCTGGTTTTACCTCACAAATGCTCTTAGATGCATCCACATCTCCACTTACATTTTTAAGACAAGCCCTCACTGGCTTTCGTCCATTGGTTTCCCTGCATCCAGCCTTTCTCCTGTTCATCCTACAGCTGGAGTGATATGTTTAAAACACAAGTGTGATCACGAAACTTCTCATCTTAAAATCTTTAATTAGCTGTCCCTTGTTCTTAACATGAAACTCTTAATCTTTAGTGTGACCTTCAAGATCCTGCTTCTCATTATCAGTCTCACTGGGCACCTCTCCTGTGCTCTCTGCTACTGGCCTTCCTTTGGTTCTTAAAAAGTCCTTCTTTCTACCTGAAGGCCCTTAGATATGCTGATTTACCCATGTAAGAAATTCTCTTCTTTTCTACTCTTCCTTCTATGATTCCCTGACTTTTACTTACCCTTCAGATTCCAGAATAAAACTCTTCTTGTTCAAGCAAAATTTTCCCTAACCCCACCACCCAGATCATATGCCCTATTAATCTATTTCTCTTTTAGAATAGTTGCCACATTTGCAATGAAATGTTCTTTGGTGTAATGAAATGGCATGTTAATTATCTTCTTCGCCTGACAGAATATTAGTCATGTATATCTAATTTACTGCTTTATCCTTATCTCTAACCTTGCACAAAGTAAGTACTCAATAAATATTTATCAAATGAGTGAATGAACTCCAGTAGTTACCAGTGTTATGATAACCATGATCAGGAAAACTATTAGTAAAAATCAATAGTCTCAATTACAGTCATATCATTAAGCAACCCCACAGATTTAGTAAATAAAATTGTATGTTATTTGCAAACAATGGCTTGCTTATTTTTATGTATAATCACAAGTGTAATTTATTTAAGGACCAAATATATACCATGCAAAATTGCATTAAAAATGTTTAAAAAGGTGTTCCTTCTAAGAAGTCAAAACATCCTCAAAGTTAGCAACCATGCCATAATCAAAAGGAAAGCCATATTTGATAAGAATTATTCAAATCCTGAATAATATTGTTATTTGGAATAAATAACAAAAGATATATTAGAAGTCCTTATATATAAAAAAATTCAAGATATCTTGAATTTGATGATATATGTTCAACAAATTTTTCCATCACTTTCTTATGTTTTGAAGATTATATATTTAAATGACAATTAGTATAAAGTTGTAAAACATCTGTCATTGTATAGTGCATTCAAGATGAAAACAGCTGCCAACCTGTGCCACAGATTTTATCCAGAACACTTCCAGATAAAAACTGAGTGACTTGGTCTTTATGATTAGGCCAATTTTCAGTAAGCTGCATTAAACAAGTAAGGTAATCTAAATCTCTGGCCCCTTTCCTTAACTTCTTTCCTGTCTCAATGCCATCCATGTGTTGCTCAGATTCCAAATCTTGGCTCCTTTTGATCAATTCTACACCACAATAAACTAACTGCAAGTATTTTTGGCTCTACTTTCAAAACGTACTATGAATATACCTTACTCCTCTTCACTTCCTATAACTTTCCTTATCCAGGCCATCAACATCTTTACCTGGACTACTGCAATAGCCTTCCAACTCATCTCCAATTTCCACAGCTCCCCATCACTCCCAACACAATAGTTCATCTATCACACTGGAGCCAGAACTATCCTTTTCAATACAGGGCTGAGCATATCACTCTCCTCCTTGATGCAACTCTGAAATCCTTGCAAACTTTCCTACATTACCTGGCCCCTGCCTAATTCTCCAACAGGATTTCCTTCTTTTGTCCGCTCCACTACGTTTTCCTTCATTTTGTTCCTAGAGCATTCTAAGCTCATTCCCACTTAGAGCCTTTCCACTTTTTATTCTTCTGGTTGAAGTGTTCTATCCAAGATTATTACATGGCTGTTTCCTCTCTTATCATCAAGTCTCAGGTTACCACCACTCTCCCCTCACTCCCTGTCCCAGAGGTTGACCACTCTGAATAAATCCCCAGCCAATCTCTAACACATCATCCTGTTTCATTTTCTTCCTATTAATTTTTACTACCCGAAATTGTCTTCTCTAGTTCTATAGTCACCCACTAATTCTGTCTTAGCTCCCAGAATGTAAAGCTCCTGAGCACGGGAAATTCTTAAGTCTTGTCCATCATTTACTCCACTTTACATCAAGCCTAGAAAAGTGTTCAGGATGCAGTAGGTGCTTACTAAATATTTATTACATGATCGAATATACTTAGTAGCATCAAAAGCAGCTCAAAATTTAAAAAAAAGCAATAATCATATAAGTAAAATTCAAAACAAAGTATCACATGAATTTGTATCATGTAGTTTCATGTTATACATATAAACTACCAGAGGGGCTTGTTACATGTTAGAAATCTCAAATATTATAATCAAAATACATTAGTTTCCTAAGAAAGTTTACCTCTATGTTATGTAAGGGTAAAAATCCATTTTTATGAAAAATCTTTTAAGATGAGGAATTTTAAATAAATCTGCATTATGAATGGGGAAGGGAAGCCATATTTCTTTTCTTCTGCAAAACTGGAATGATCCCTTTAGGACTGAATCAGTAGCATTTAAAGAAATATTTTAATCCAAAGGTCAATTTAAAAAATGAATAAGGATTTTTAAGAAAAAGAAAAAACTATTTAAGCTAAGGGAAACAACAGAAGTTGGTTTCCCGAGAGCCAACAAATCATCCTGCAGCTAAACAGAAGCTGTGTGTTTATACCTGAGGTTTTCCATCTCCACAGATCTATGACATATGCTTTTCATGTGGAGTGGGTAAGTTTAGAACTCTCCAAAACTTTCTCTGAATGCCCAAACACCTCTAAATCAATGTTCTTATTTGTAGAACTCATTAGCTAGTTACACAATTAACAGGAATGATTCAAATCCATACCTCAGGGAAATCATAAATTACCACATCTCATGGACTTCGTCAGGAAGAGTCAAAGCCAGAGCATTTGCAAATGCCAAGAGTCCACTCACTGTATGTGGACAGTTTCCATGAGAGAATAAACTATCTTGGATATTAGTTAAGATTTTTAAAAATTAACTAGAAAATGATTTACTCCACTGGAGCTATTTACTAAATACTACAGAGCATGAATACAACCACTTAGATTACTTATAGTAGCAAACAGAAATAGCAGTAGGCACTTTATCTTCCTGTTAAGTGATTGCCTTTGTTACACAACACTGTCTGGAAAAATCTGACTACGATTCTAACTGCAAGCCACAGTAATCATGTCAATATGTGAGCTATCTGAATATCTAATTATGAAAAAAAAGAAGGCAATTTCACAGTGGAAGAATTGTTCTAATTCAAGAAACCAGCCATATCAACTTATTAGTGTGACATATAGCAGATAGCTGAAAAACTTTAATTTGAAAGATAATTATTTTTAGCTGATTAATATGCTTCAAATTAAATTCACTGCTTTTAATGGGCCCATCAACTTGACAACCTGGGAACTTAATAAATTTTGCATGCAGTAATCCTAGAAAATTTATACAGCTGAGCTACACATCATTACAAGGATTACCTTCACAGTAGGCATTATCCTCTCGAAGAGCCCTAAAACCATCTCGACAGCTACAAACAGCCCTGTCATTCAGATTTCTGCAGATGGAATTCTCCATGCAGTTATGCCTTTCAGAACAAAAGTCATAACCTACAGAAAAAAAAAGAAATTTATTAAGGTAAATGAAACTATGACAATGCAAATTTTTCCTACTTAATATTTTCTTTAATTTTGAAGCTATGACTCCCTAAATAATTTTTTAATTAGTATCTTCATCAACATTTACAGAAGAATCACATGCTATGAGTACCAAAAACTTCTTCTTTATGTTTAACTCAATTAATTTCGATTTCAAGTTAACTCCATTTCTTTTGTGGTTTTTGACTTTATAAATGCTATCTAGTCCCTAATATTCTAATTATAACCCTCCATATATCTGAAAAAAAGAAATATTATTAGGGTACAAAATGAAGATTTATAATATAGAAGATAACACAATGAGAAGGTAATCTGGTAACTGGAGGTTCAACATTTTCAATACCTGTGGGTAAAACAAACCAAGCCAGATGAAATGTACCTATTGTGTATTTAAGAAATTAGACAGCTTAGCATCCAAAAAAAACAAAACCTTTCTAAATGTGTTAAAGATGAATATTAAATCACTTTAATCTAATTTTCTCTAGAAATCTGCAAGGCAAAGTATGCTCACTCTAAAGAGGAAGAAAATTTTTAGGAATTATAGAGATTTCACAGATCTCAGAGTCTTTATAAGAGAAAAGAAAAATGGAACATTTTATAAATAGTGACAGCAATCATGTGCAATTTCTCAAGATCTCTTTTTGTGGCCTGAACCCCTTGTTCAAAGATCATCTAAGATGCTGAAATGAAATCTTCAAAACTGGAATCTATATTTAATGGAAATTACATAATTATATATAATTCAACCAGTTTTAAATTACTTGATGTATGCTATCTATCTAGGTTTGCACTTTCTAATGGATTACTATTTTAGCCCATGTAAAGAAAGAAGGTGGCTGGGCATGGTGGCTCACACCTGTAATCCCAGCACTTTGGGAGGCTGAAGCAGATGGATCATTTAAGATCAGGAGTTGGAGGCCAGCCTGGCCAACATGGTGAAACCCCGTCTGTACTAAAAATATAAAAATTATCTGGGCATGGTGGCAGGTGCCTGTAATCCCAGTTACTCTGGAGGCTGAGGCAGGAAAATTGCTTCAACCCGGGAGGCAGAGGTTGCAGTGAGCCAAGATCGCGCCGCTGCACTCCAGCCTGGGCAAAAGAGTAGGACTCCATCAAAAAAAAAAAAAAAAAAGGACTAAAAAAGTATATTTCATGTATCTTAGAATAATCTGATCAACCTATAAGCAAGAAAAGACTTTTACTTGCGAAAATCATATAGATGGAAGTACTATATTGGTTCATCTTATCTGTAATCAAATTGGTGTTCATTCGATTAGAATTCCAGAGTTAAAACATACTCCCTATTAATGCAACTATGATGTATAGTAAAATATTATTGGTACAACTTAATAACCCTTAAGAAGAGTAATGTTCCAAAAATGTAATAATACCATTAAAAAAGAATAGAAAAATAATCAAATGACTCAGTGATTTCTACAAAAATAAAATAAAATCGAACATAGGTTTATTAAGTCCAGAAAAATATAGTCAATAACAGCATTTAAAATACTTGGCAACGTAGCTTCTTTTGACAAGAGTCTTCACAATCTAAACTGTCATGATTAAGGCTGTACATTTAAAAGTAAAATTCTTAAGAAGAGCAAAAGTTAAAAATGCTTTCTCCTAGGATCTTTTTATTTCCTTCTTCTTTAAATAGCTAAATTCAGATGATATTTCTTCAAATGTATTCCGCTGTCTTTTTATAATGCCTGAGGGAGAACAATTTCGGCTAAAAAGTCATCTTCACTATCTATCCCAATAGCTCAGCACAACATCAAACTAACTAAAAAGGCTTCAAAAACCACTTTATATTTATTCTATATTAAAACAAAGTTACTAAAAAATAGCCTACTCCTTAAGATACACAGAGAATTAAGAAACAAAGCTCTAACACAGTGCTAAATTTCTGCATAATTTTGCCTGTACTGTTTCAAACAACTTTCAGAGGACTGTGACTAAGAACGGATACCATTTCTGATACACCTTTTTTTCAAAACCTTCCTTCAACTTTTCACTTGGTTGAATTTTCTCCTCTCCCATCTTGGACTCTGCCCAATATTATCTATGCCATATGTGATATGCCACCTCTATTATCATCCATTTTCAGTTCTGTTTCAGTAATGGTGAGACCTCTCATCTCAGCATTAAACATCTTGCACACATACACTATGTAGAGTTTAATTGCTGCAAGAATTTTCTCACTGTAAGATAACAGTGTGATCCAACTTTCACTGTTTTAGGTAAAAATTAGGAAGTGCCTTGCTTTTTATCAGATGGGTTTTTTTAAACACAAATACTTGAAAAATTAAAATTTCAGTCATTCGAATTCCAATTCTCTATAAACAATGTCAGCTATTTTGATTCATTCTTCCAACAGATAAGTTGATTGAACCTACTGGTTATTTTGCAAAATGCTAGGGTCAAAAAGCTAACAATTAATGGATGGAAAATTCAGACTTGATTTCGAGTGGGTTGCTTCTGATCTATAGGGAATAGCTTTAAACAAATCAGAGTATGGGTTGGCAACATAATCCTATTATCTTCATAGTTGCATTTCCATTCATATGTGCTTGGCTATTGGAGTTGGCAGGCCTGAGTTTACATCTGATCTCTGCCACTAACTTGCTGTGTAAATTACTAACTGTACATTAATTAACCTTTCTAAGCCTTCAGTTTTTCTCACCAATAAAAATTAGTATAATAACTACCTTGTAAAAATGTGAGGTTCCAATGAAATTATCTATGTAAAAGCATAATAATATATTATTCGTTAATAACTAAAGTTATTAGAGCACTACTAAGCTGAAATTAAATATGTTGAGATCCATAAAAGAAAATTCAAATATTTGTTATAGACAGATGGATGAACCAATTATCTAATACAACCTAGCCTTTCTTTGATTTCCTTCTTTAGGTTTTAACTTCAAGGATATTATGTTCTCTAATCCCTTTGCAAGCTTTACAAAATTACATAAAGTTCTATGTTTTTCTATCAAGTGTAGAACTTTTGGTAAAATATAAACATGCATTCTTATATAACTGGAAAAGAGGGGAGGATGGATACAAAAGATTATGTGTAAGTAGGAACAGTATATATATAATACATAATTATCAAGAGAAAGAGAATACAATAATTTTGTGGTGAATATTTATAGGTTTTGCCTAAAGGCATCTATTTCTTGTTTTTGTGGAAAAAAAGAATAACCTCGTTATCACTCACCCCTACTTTCAGCCCAGATGCTTATAAGAAAATGGACTCTACTCCTCCACAGGATAGAGTCACACCAGCCAATGCAGTCCACTGGCCTGGACACAACAATTTCTTCAGGTCAGGGCATATTATCTACTTCAAGCTAATGAAGACCACTGAAACTCAATTCTGGGGGTTTTATTCAGTGTATGAGAATGCTGAGCTTTTTCTTCCACCTACTTGAATGGCATAATGATATGAGCGTAAGAATGTAGGGGTATAGCTGAGAACACATCGAGCCTCAAAATAAAGCTATCTCACAGGAGATAAACTGAGAGATGCATCAAGACAAAGGGACGAGATTTGAGAGCAGAATCAAGCTACACCTGAAGCCAATTTATCCTCTGCTTATTGGGCCTACATATTCCATTTTTTTGCCATGAAACTTGAATTGGGTGTTCTATCACTTGTACATGAAAGAATATTAATTTAGGTGTTGTTTGCAAGATAATGGATTATCCTAGTGTTTCCTAAAGTGTAACTCATGTACGTGGATGAACATAAAAAAATACTAATACCAACGGATTTCTTTTAATGTGTATAAGAAATACACAAATCCAGCAAATAATCCTATTATTTCATGGCTACCACCGCTTAGGAATAAAACTAAATCTTTTAAAAGTGAGTCGACTATAGTAGGTATTTAAAAATTAACTATATAATGGTATTAGTAACATATACATAGCACATAGCCAGAATCATGAAGGTGATAATTGAATAATATGGGAAACTATGGGTTATCCAGAAGTTTCCCAGGGAAAGGAGAACTGACACTAACTCAGCCTTCTGTATGTGGATGCCCCTATTGCTTATAATTATGAGTTGAGATGAAGTAAATAATAAATTAAGGAGGGCCATCTAGTCAATAAGCCTTAATGATCTTGCAGGCAGACAAAGTGGTTGCCAAGGAGGAGGAGAAGAACCAGAAGGACTGTGGATATAAAGGTTATCCACATTATTTCTTTATCTTTCTAAATCAGAATCCTCACTGAATCACTCAGTCTCTGTCATGTGGTAATCTGTTATAAGCTTCCTTGAAAGGGCTCTCTAATTTGAAAAAAGCGGAAAACTTTTCTGCTACATTTCTTCTGATCTGCTACTACAGAAGATGGCTAGCTACAGGGTACCTAGAACACAGTCTTGGGTGAATTTGATTTAGCGCCTACCAATTTGGAGCCTGACTTCGGTGTGTAGCTTAGTTTCCAACCACTGGCTGAGCCTCTAGTGAAAAAGTCAACACTTCATCTCATGCTCTGCTCTCAGGGAATATTTACTAACTGTTGTCCAACAACTACTCTTTCAGATGTGAACACACCATCTTTAGCACTATACAAATAGGCCTGGAAACAGGAGGCCAATTTTATCACAAATGAATTTGTCACAACATATCTTTAGGAGTTGACTAAAAATTTAAGCCTTGAAAACTTGACTTCTTTTAGTTTGAAAGTTAGAAAATGCCAGGAGAACACGTTTATTTCACATATTTGAATCGGAAATTAATGCAATCTTTATTAAAAATAGCGCTAAATATTTCAAGAAGGGCCAATCTGTCCAATTTCAGTTTGAGGATTATCTAAGCCAGTGGTTCACAATCCTAGCTGTGAAAAATAATTTATCAGGGATTTTTTAAAAATAGTAATGCCAAGGCCCCACTCCTATCAGTTATATCAGAATCTCAGATGGAGGAAGTATTAGTCATGGTATAGTCTATCATTGTATTTTTAAGTATGCTATGTAAACACATTTTTTAACTGTAAATAATTTAAATATAACACAATTTTACTAGCATTTTCCATTTATTAACTTGCTTTTCATAATATATTAGGACTCTTTTAAAAAGAAATAGATGTAGTTAAGGTTTCTCTTGATATCTTAAAGGCCCTATTTCAGCTTTTTACCCAAATCTTATCCTACCCAACCTTGACTAACTTCTACGCTATTCATCTCTGTAATTTCTGTATAGCCCTTGGACACCTGCAGTGTCCATTAAAGATAGCCATTAAAAGTGGTCACAATTTTGCAGCACTCTTATCTATGGTGAGGTCTATTTCCCCTTCTCTTGAATGTGGGCTGCCTGTGAGTGCTTTGACCAATTGCATATGATAGAAGTGATGTGGTGCCAGTTCCAGACCTAGTATTTGAAGGCCTGAGTCACCACTTAAGAAGTCTGATGATTACCCTGCTGGAGAGACCATAGGAAGAAGTCCTTAGATTACGTAGAGAGGGAGGGAGTGCCAGCTGGCTCAGCCTTCTAACCATCCCTACCCAAGGTAACCAACATGTAGTGAGGCCATCTTGAACCTCTCAGCCAAGCCCGGCTTCCAGCCCTACAGCATTGAATGACCCCAGTTAACACCATGTGGAGCACAAGAATCACCTAGCCAAGCCCTGTCTGAATTCCTGACCCACAATACTATTGCTTTAATCCACTGAGATTTGGAGCAGCAATAGATAGTTTTTTTGCAGAAATAGAGAACTACTAAAAGTGTGGTCCTGCTTGCCATCAGCATTAGCATCACCTAGGAGCTTTTTTGTAGAAATTCAGATTCTTAGGCCTGACCCCAGACCTACTGAATCAGAATCTGCATTTTAATAAGATGCCTAAGTTAGTCATATGTATATTTAAGTTTAAGAAACACTGATATGGCCTGCCTATGTTTGGATGCCAAAGACACTCTAGTCAAGCTGCAAACTGGAGGACTGAATCCAAAGAGCATTCTTGATTCATATCAAATTGCACACATGCTTTGTGTAAGGCACTGACTTAGGCACTGTGAGAGTGAAAACTCTTATGGTCCTTATTATATGTCTATGTGATCATAGTTCTTTTTAGAAGTGTTCTTTATTACTGCAGGTTACCCTGAAAGCTCCTCGAAAGGCAGACCATGTCTTAAACCATTTTGTAATTCCTAAAGAGCCTCACATAAAATGAGATTTAAAAACTATTGAGTGGATGGAAAAGTAACTTAAAAACTAAAAACAAAACCAAACTGCACCACCCTGCTAAAAATGGGAGTGGGTGATCTAGGATCTATCAGATCCTATGTCCACTTTTAATAGAGTAAGTTAAAAGAAAACAAAACAGTGTATGTTTCATAATGTTTCTTTGTCTTACTTTTTCTATTTAAGCTTTGTTTTGCATCAATATAAAGGTCATTATTCAAACAAGTACTAGTAGCTTATTTGGGGCAGTTTGTTATACAGCACCAATTACATCAGTTATAAGTACCAGCTACATTCCAGGTATCATACTAAGTATTAAGGATATAGAGATGAACATAAAGACTCAGCCCTGCCCACAAGGTGCACTGTCTAATGTAGAAGATGGATTCATAAGCATATAATTCCCGTATAATACAGGAAGGCACATATAATTTCATGATTGGCAAGGATCTTAAAGAGTTCCATATAATCAATGCTTTAATTTAATACATGAATCTATAATAAGATACCTAGTTTAAAAATCTTTAGTGATGGAAATTCACTGCCTTCTGGGGTGGCCTGTTGCATTTTTGAATAGCACAAATTTTAGTGTTTTCTTATCTTCAACTAATAATTGAAGTCCCTTCTAATTACTAGTTCTAGTTGTATCATATCAGAGGCAACACAGAACAAACAATGTATGTCTGATGGCCTCTCCATTCTCAGTAGTCCAGAAACCTATGGGTGAGAATTGAGAGTAGAATCAAGAAGAAAGGGATTTGAAGTAGTCATAATGAAAAATATTCTAGGTAAGTTATAAAAAGAAGCTGAGGAGAAATGAAAAACAAACAAAACTCACTTGCCAAGAAACAGTAACTGCCAATAAAATAACTAACTCAATATTGTTGTGTAACTTTCTTTAGCAAAGCTGTACTGACTCCAAACCAGCACACAGAGAGAAATTTAGAGATCCAGAGCTTGAGACAGGTTCAAGACAACTTGCAGAAATGCACAGGAGCAGTTCAGTTTTAATTCAGTTCAGTAAATATTTCATGACTACCTACTGTGCTACTCTGTGCCAAATTAGGAGAGCATATAGGGAAATACTATTAGTCTATGGAAATAATTTGCTTATGAGAATTTCTACTTCATGTCAGTTGTACTAGCCTACTATAATAACTCTTGCACGTAAACCTTACTTTTCAAAAAAGTCTTACCTTTACAAACTTTGCAACAGCTGTGAGACAAGGTTATCTGATGAGACTCTGGACAATCCAAAGCTGGACAGCCTGAACTCTCAACAAGTTTCATGGTCTGGTCCTGTTAGACAACAGAAAAGAAGTGCTTCAAATTTTATCATTAGGACTTGTTAAGAAGTTTCCAGATCCAGCATCTGAGAAGACTCTTTTAAGATCAAGAAATTTTTGTCCTGAGGACCTCTGCACAGGTCATGGGCTCACTCCCAAAATGACATTAAATCCCAATTGGAAAGTCTTTAGAATAAGCAAGTCTTTAGAATAAGAATCAGCCACACTGATTCCACCACACTGCAGCCATGTCTATAATTTGCCAAACATCTGGGTAATCCTGGAAAATTTTGCTAGTTTTACAACACATTTTGCAAGCCCAGATGACAATTGTGGCAAAGATACAGTTTGAATTATATCAACAGCTTTTGAAAAAAAACAGTAAATTAAAATTGAGCTTTCGAAACATTTCAGTTTTCTTATAAAGTTTTATTATAAGGAGATTCTCACAGATGATTCTGGTAAGAAATATTGGATGTCTTCCACAAAACTACAGGGAAAATGAGGGCAGGATTCTTGTCTCTTGTAAATTAATGTCTAGCACATTTTCAGGCACATAATTGGCACTTAAAAAATTTCTTGAATAAATGAATAAATCAATGTAAAATCACTGTAGTTCTTGCAGCCAAAAAGATTAAACACTTCCCAAGGAGAAACCAAAATACAAAATACACTTCTGATAATTGAAGTATTCTTGCCTTAGGAGCAAACATTTGTTTTCTATACTGTCAGTCTCCAATGTCCTAAAAACAAGGATCATTAACTATGTTATATTATGCTAACCAATACATAAGTAATTAAATAACTCTTGGAACTTGCAAGCTTCCATGTTAACTACTGCTCAATAGCTTAGATTTGTAGATTGAATTTCTGCAAGGAATGCTTTCATAGAAGAAGTGCACATTTCAATATCTGCCTTTTCCTGGCTCATTTATGTAAAGGACCTTCTCCAAATCATAAGCTCTTGTCAAGAAGCTTGGCAGGAGGCATGTATACAGTGGAGTCAAACGCTAGTCTTCTTTTGGTTTAGTAGTAATATCAGTTCTGGTAATCTGATTTTCTAAACCACAGTGTTTTTCTGTGTTACTATGAAAGTCACAGACCCCTAGGACTGCTAATATTTTCAAAAGGACAAAACTGACAATAAAAGAACAAACAGGGACTCGAATTGACAGCCCAGAAAATGGATGTGTGAGAGAGCTGTCAATTCTGCAACACAGTAAATACAGGAGCTAAGGGCCTTGAAGGGAAAAGAAACTGTGGAACACCTTAAAGTGAAGAATTTAGTACAAAAGCTTATGATGATCTGATAGAGCTGTGCTGTCCAATCAGTAGTCACTAGGTACATGTGGCTCTTTTACACTGTAATTGCAAAGTATGCAAGAGAGTTTGAAGACTTGGTGTAACAAAAGAATGTACAATATTTTATTAATAAATTTAATATTGATTACATGTTGAAATGATGATATTTTGGATATATCGGGGAAAACAGAAAAAAACTAGTCCAATAAAAATTACGTTTGTGGCTTGCATCATATTTCTATTGGATGGTGCAGCATTAGAAGGTAGAAAATGGTGCCTTTTGTTTGAGCAAATAAAAGGTAACATTCACTCATTTATCTAAAATTTATGAGCACCTGCTGTGTTGCCTCTATAAAGACTTCTAACTGAACCTATTTAAAATCAAATAATCTTATATAATAGCAAATTTAAAATCCAATAGGCAATTATACCAGTACATTTCTAAACCACAATTATCAGTATTATGAGACACATTCTGGTAAAATGAATAGGATACACACACACACACACACACACACACACACACACACACAGAGAGAGACAGAGAGAGAGAGAGAGAGACAGAGAGAGAGAGAAAGAGAAGTAGAGAAACTTTAAATGCTCTCAAGATTTTTAAATTTAGAACCAAAATTTTAATGTTAGAGATTACTATTAGAAGCCAGCTGGCAGAAGTTTTCTTCCCTCCTTGAAGTAACTTCTCTGAGTCTCTTTTCTCATTTTGGAGTTACTAGATCTCACTCTGTCTTCCAATTCTTTTATCTATTGTGAGACTTACTCCACTTAAAACGGCATTGGTGTAGGGAGGCTGATAAAGGAAAATCCATCATCTTGAAATACAGGTTGAGGAATTCATTTTAATGTTCCTGTGCCTCTATTCTCTAAGATGAGAACCTACATCATTGGAAAGCTGATTTAAAACTAAAAGAAGAAGAGAGGATACTTTATAATGGGCATGAAGAAATCAGAGCTTTCATGTTCTAGAAATCAAATCTGTCACAGTCTTGCCTCTTTGCATCTCCTCCTTGCTTATCTCAAAGGATTTCCAAATTAAGATGCATAAACTGGATAGCTTCTTTCAGATTCAATTTGTCTTAGCAAAATTCTTAGGATTTTCCTTTCCCTCACTCTTAGCAATCATAGTTTATTGGTGGTGCCAGCAGCATAAATCACTATCTTAATTTTCTACATAATTTATACATACTAAATCATTTCCCAAACCATGTATAGGAGGTATTTAAAGAGGAAAATTAACTATCAAATAAAAATGAAACCCTAAAGCAGAAATTTTATATATAGACAGTTTCCTTCATATAGAATAAGGATTTTAATGTAACATTAGGGTCAAGAAATATAACATTATAATTTACAAAAGACAAACATGAAAAGTGTTGTGAAACATATTTAGTTTTTCAATTAGTAGGTCGAGGGGCAAAAATTCAAATGAATCACATTTGCTTCAGAAACCTTGGCAAGTAAATTTGTAAGGAATTTCCCTTTAACTAATTTAAAACACTCCTTCCAAAGGGAATTAGATAAATATCAGTCTCAACTCCATCCAACAATTAATTTTAGTTAGGTAATTTTTCGTTTTGTTTTTAATTGAACTGAGCAATACTTCTCACATGGTACAAAATCATGAGTGACAAAAAGCTAAGTCTAACTTCACCTACATTTTCCTCCCAAGAGCAAATAAGGAGCTTATTTGAATTTGGAAAACATACGACAACTTCATAAAGCTTTAATTTGACAAAATAGCATTTTCATTTCTTGGAAAAATTATTTTTCAACCACTAATTTACATGCTTAAAAATGAGAATTTCTTTACATTCAAATGATAATTAATATTGTGAATTTTCTCTTTGCATTAGAATTTCAAAAATGTATTTCAAGGTTGAGCTAGTAAAGAAACTTTTATCTTGTTTATAAATAGAAACAATTTTGAAAGACCCACGAATAGTCTTCTTACCTTGCACTCATAGAGAACACATACTCCAGAAGAGGAATAGACTGTATTTCTTTCTCCTTCAAAGTAGGTTCGTCCTTGAAATTGGCATATCGCTTTGGAGTAAAAAATACATATATATTTATTTTATTGGGAAAAATAGCTTAGAAGGGATCAGATCATCTTGTAACAGCATTCCACATGTTATACACCTTTTTTCAACATGTATGACTAACCAGAAACCTCAATTCAATCTACTGCAAGGCACATGTAAACTTAAATTAGTGTCATGCAAATTAAGTTGAGAGAGTAAAATAAGATATAAAAAAGATAAAGGGCAATGACATGTCTGAATTAGACTCTGAAAAAGTAGTGCCAAAAAGCAGACTTACAGCCAATTACTTGCCTAATAGATGATGTCCCACTTAGGGCATATTAAGTAGTCACTTAGGGCGGCAATAAATCAGGGGTAATATGAGACTCAGGGAACAATATGAGAAAAGTTTTTGTTTTATATACCATTACAGAATTTTAAAATAGAACATTATAATAGAAAGAAGGTATATTCATTTCAGCACATCCATGTAAGTTTTAAGTTTTATGGTTTAGTGTCATTTTATTTATAAGTATGTATGGGTTAGGGCACCCCATCTAGGATGCTGAGAGGTCTGAATCTGAACCTGCCTTGCTTCCATCACAATTAAGTGAAATTTTAAAATGTAACCTTAGATTCCATGGGAAAAATATGTTTTTAATCCATAAAAATGCATAGAGTATCAAATAATCTTTTTCTAAAACCTGCAACATATTTACAGTTCACACAAACATTTAGCCAACAGAAATCATTTCCTTGTTTTGAAGTATTTCACACGACCTACACTGACTCATCACCTAAGGTGAAACAGATTTACCCTAAAGCTAATGATGCCTAATTTTCAGCGTCCTTCTCTGGCTTAGGCTCCTTGTAAGATGCTGAACTAAGTTCTCCTTTCATAATTTTGTATTGTTTATCTTTGAAAGGCCACCCAATATTGTAGATGCTTCAGGTCCCCATAACATCTAGATCTACCCCAAGATAATTATTTCAAAGACCAGTGGAAGTGATCAACTGATACAGACTCTGGCAATTTGTTCCCCAAATTTACTAAATCCAATTTTTTATTTTAACTATACAAATTATATAAAGTGAATGGGTATATTTTCTTTTGATTCCACTGTGTGAATTATGAGAAATTGTCTCACTCTTTGGAATTTATATATCCCTATTACCTTTAAAACTATCAACTTGCCAATAATAAAGAAGGAAGAAAGTAGACATATTTTTACTTTTAAATTTTATTATTTATTTTTTTCTTTTAGAGACAGGGTCTTGCTGTGTTGCCCACGATGGTCTCAAACTCCTGTCCTTAAGTGGTCCTTCTGCCTAAGCCTCCCAAAGTGCTGGGGTTATAGGCATGAGCCACCATGCCTGGTCTATTCTCTTAATAATATCAATATATTGTTGTACAAATATTCATTCCCAAAGTATAACCTGACTCTCGCTTTCCTTGAAAAACTATTTTAAAGTTGCACATTTAAATAATGTCAAATAAATAAATTAATTAAATAATGGAAACCATGCACGTTTTTTAAAATGTCATCCTCCAACTGATCTCCTTACACAGCATTTATTAACAAATTTGACTACATAATGCATATCTCCTAGCCAACTGATTTTGAACTTTTTAGAGCTTGCTAGCAAAGAATAAAATTTACTTGCACTAATCATATGACTTAAAGTCTGGCTAAAATATGCTCACTCGTGAATATTCAAAATGAAACTATGTATTTGTCAGTTGCATACTATCTATCATATTATGAATTAAAATGGTATGTGCATTTACTTAATAAACATGATTGATTGCAAAATTTACCTCTCTGACATCTAATTTTTAGGATTTTTTTGTTTTTATGAAACTCAGTAACCTCAACATACCAAGACCTAGCATATTGCATGTTTAATTATACTTAATAAGTACTATATTTTATAAGATAATGAGAATAAACAAAACCTTTCTTACATCTATTCAGTACCTGCCATTCAAAAGTTTCTAAGCCTATTATATTATACGACTTGATAACTGCAGCCTATTCAAGTCCAAGCGTATGTGGAAGAAAAACAATGGTGCTCTAAATCTTACACAGAGGGGAAAGGAAACATTGTAAAAAAAACACAAGGGTAAATTCTCCTTATTAAAAGTCTTTTGATAATTTAATATTCATGTAGAGCAGATGGGCCTTCTGTTTGAGACTCTTAATTCAGAAGACTCAAATAGGCAACTTGTGGGACAATAGGGCACCAAATGGAGCTTGGCAGGGAGGGAAAAAGCACAAAAATGAATGAGGTCACAATTGCTTAATTCTCTTTCAAGCAATGAGCACAAGCAGGATGAAGTTGGCTTAGAGAGAAACCAAAGTGAGTGATTTTTATCTCATTTCTTTTTTGATCAGTTGCTGTAATTCTCCATAAGTCTAATGTTGACATGGAATATTCAGTAATACTAGTAGGATATTTCTTCCCTAGACTCTTTAGAGGAGAAATGTGAAGAAATTCAAAAAAGATATAATGATTCCTAAAAACACTGCAAGGAATCATAAAAATGCCATTAGAATGGCTCTAGGAGTTTTCTAAGAGAAGACTGAGAGAGTAACAGTCATGTTAACCTATTCATACATTTAACAAATATGTACTGAGCTCCTATTACATGTTAGATATTCTCCTAGGTACTGGAATTCAAAGACGAATTTAATGTGCTTCATGCCTCAATATTTAGTAGGGCAGACAGACTCATACACAACTAACTCTAAGAGAAGTCAAACTGAAATTCTATGATTAAATAATCCATAAGTTATATGGAAACTCAGGAGACCGAACGAACTTCTAAGAAGGGACAGCTGGATTAAGATTAAGAAAATAAACAAGGGCTGGTTAAGGATCCAGACTGTGGTAAAAGCAAGGGATCATCATTACCCTAAGGCTAAGGAACAAGGGAAGAAAATGGTTTTACTAGAGTCCAGTGTAAGCCAGAATTATGGAGGAGAGGCTGCCTTGTAAAAGCTGTAATCATGAGAGCACAGCTACTGCCAGAGACATAGCTTGGTGCAGGAAAGAAACATAGCCAACCTTCTCTCCTCCTCCTGCCTTCCAGTTTCCTGCCAGTGTCTCCCATTGGTGAACGCTACTTGAAACTAGCTGGCAAGGAGACCAGAGTGATGCAGGCTGCAGAAGTCAGGCTCCTGGGGGACAGAGGACAAAGAATGGAAATGGGAGTGTTGGGTGCCCAGGAACAATAACAAGAACAAATGTCTATTACGTTAATTCACTATAAGCCATTAAGAGGTCTAGTTTACCAGGATAGCTTGCTCAGAAGGGCATGAGAGAGCGGAACACAGAAACAAAAGATTTGAAAGAGAAAACTGATATTTTTAAAATGTTGTCCCTCCTTGAGATTATCAAAATGAGGTTTATAGGCAGCCAGAGGGTAAAATGAGGGAACTGAGCTCTGGGAAAATCAAGTGTGTAAACAGAGGAGGGAAAGCAGATCGGGCCTATGCCCTAATTTTAACCAAGGCGAACCCATGCAGGTATCAGGTGCAAATTCTGAGAGATAACAATAATCGCTGGCTACCACAATGGCTACAGGACCGTCCCTGGAATTCTCTAACTGAAAAGTATCTGCCTTCTAACCTCTCCCCAGTAGAGTATAAAGTAAGAAAATTCACTTCCTCAATAAAACAATAAAGGAATAATCATTTTTACTATATTTGTTGCTCCTTTTAACCATGTTAATTGCATGCACATGTTTACAGCCAGAGGCTTCATTTCTTCCCTAGTTTTGTTGTGTGGCTTGTGTATATGTGAGTGAGTGTGTATACCACATTAAGTTCTTTATGATGTAACTTTGGATTTCTACACCTCCAATCACTTACTAGCTTAAAGCAGAACTGTTTCAATTAGGCCATATTTTCAAAAGTCTATGCTGAGTGATTGATTGAATATATTATGTGTATATACTTTAAGATATAAAACTTCTAGGGAGATGTACTTAATTTATTCATACAGGCTTATCAGTTTGTAGACTAAGAATGCTATACCATTTTGAAATCATATTAACCCACAGAACCACAGCTACTTGTTAGTTATTAATATTAAACAATGTGAAATGCATATTTACTCGACTCTAGTAGGTGCTGCTGTTGGCATAACTCCAGGCAGTGCATTCACATCATGGTCTGTGTGATTTAGGTCACCCAGAGCTTTCCTATGCACAGTCTATTCAGTTATAAGTGGAGACATTAACAACAACTTGGAGAAATTCAATAGGACAATATAACACTTGATGTATACGTTCTACCAAGGCTATCTTAAACATTACAAACTGGATAGTCACTAGCATCATAATTATGATGGAATCCAAAAAAATCAATTAATAAAAATTATTTTCACTTCATTTTCCCCCATTTTAAGAACATAAAAACGATTAACAGCAAATAGGAGCCAAGAGATGCTACAGACAAATTTAGAAGTCATCAGTTGTTAAAAAGTGAAAGGTAATTTATAACACAGATTGAGAAATGGATAAGTGAAAGAAGCCAGTAAAACTCTGAAAATTCTAAGTTGCACATTAACATCTTGATTTACTGGTCATTAATGCAGAGATGGCAACTGCAGTTTCCTCTAATGAGATTTTAATGAACTTTAGCAAACCCTTGTAGAAAGAATCATCTAAACCTATCTAAAAACATTTCAGAATATACAAGCAAAAGGGCATCATATTTCACTTTTAAACATTTCCTCACTACATATCTAGCTTTTTCCTCTTATTACCTGATTTAAAATTCATGCATCTACTTTAAACTTCCCAGTTGGTACCAATACCTTTAAAAATGATTCCTTACAAAATTAAAAGTTATAAACACCAAAAAGAAAGCCAGTGTAATTCACTTAAGTGAGTCATGGGACTTACAGTTTCTTTAAAATTCTTTTTCAAAACACCAAATATCAGTGATCTTTGGATTGACAGTCTGTTAAGGACAGAGTTTTATATAGTAGTAGCTTTCCAATGGTATTGTTTGAAATTTTGATTCCCTTTGGGAGACTTCTTAAAAATGTATAATAGCAGTTACTTCATTCTGAGCCAATATTTTGTTAGTGATATACAAATCAAAGCTGTTGGATGAGAAAAAAACTCATTAACTATAATTATGTATATTTGTATTCTTATTATACATTTTTGAAAAGAATGTACAATAAATGCATTCATGAGGCAGGCTAAGATTCTGCAAAGTCAAACAAAAAATTTTAAAAGTGTTTTAATATTCTTAAAAAGCTCCAATCAGCTATGCTGCATTTATCCTGCCTACAACCTTTTTTTGTTAACTGGACTCACTTGGAGTCAATTCTTAACAATATGGTCATAATAAAAGTATTGAGCACTAACTGATACAAATTAATCTCTCTCTCTTCTCTACAATGCTTAAATCTCTATTATAGCACTGAACACATTTTCCTTTTCTCTAGTGAGTTGTACACTTTTTCATCTTTCTTATCTCAGGACAGAGTGTCTTACTTGTCTTTGGATTTTATTCAGCACCCAGCATGGGCCCTGCATAATATACTCTCAAGGTTTGTTAAATTTTTTGGTAAATTCTCTTTCAGCTTCCTGTTTGATAAAGAAATCTAAAAATAAGTGAACTGAAACCTCATTTTTCCCTTTACATTTGGTCTCACCTGTGGAGTTTGCATCTTATAAAAAAGATTCTATAGCCTGTGTCTTACAGAAGGAGTCTGCCCTTTCTGTAAAATGACAGCTTACTTTCAACTCGAGCACATTTGAAACATCTGAAATGGGAGCAGTAAGAAAGTAGCTGGTTACTCTCATAGCAGTAACTTACTAACATGAATAATGCAAATTAGCATGCTCAAAGAAAGTCTGCTCGGACAATGTAATGACAAAACTTTCTTCTTTCCCTATATAAAACCAGTTTTTGTGAGTCAATGCTATTTAAAATGATCAGAAGTTCAGAGTGCTTAAATAATTCACAAATTCATGAATTAGACATGATCCTGCCCCTTAGCTAAATCTCATTAATTGTTTGGGAATTTAGTTGTTTGCCAAACTAATATTAGAGTTTAAGAAGTGAGATCTTGATAGTAGTTATGCAACCTCCCTTTTCTGTTTTATATACACCATGTCCTTGGGCTTCTAAAGGACCAAAGTGTGCTTCCCATAGGTGGCCTTAATTTAGGTCAGTAGCTTATTCTTCCAAAAAGAGAACAGGCCCTGAAATACTGTAAATTTAGCAGTAGTGAGGGGTTAGGAGGCAAAGGAGGATAAAAGTACCTCCCAGAATAGAACAAGAGCAAAAATTCAAGCACCCTGTCCAGATCAGCCTCTAGGTTAGAGAATGTATATGCTGAGGAAACAAAAATTGAATGTTTAGAAGTTAATAGCAAAAAAGCACACGCTATTGCTGTAAGCAGAGATTCAGCATTTTTGACTCTAACTTTACCAATTTAAATGGCAATCTAAAAATATTCTGAAATTCTTTTAATTTAGCTGCTTTTCTGTCACTAGTCTTGTTCTTGATCCTGGCTCATATACCATATAACAGTCTATTAAAACAACAATATAATCAATTCATTTAGTCCTCTGACAATATGAAAAATAAATTGAATGACTGGAGGTAAAGATTTAGAGGAAAATACAGTATTTGTGTCAATACTTAAATACTATTAAAGCGACAAACATGGACACACATGAAGAAAGGTTTCATTACCACTACACAAAGAAATATAATGTATAATATAGTAAGGAAAAGTTTACATATTGTCACTTTCAAAGTTAGAACTAGAATCCATATGACAGTCCTTATGTGCATCTTTTCTTACCACCAACCCAGTGAATTTGGTCAATACAGGAACATCGTCTTTGGTTTAACTTTGTGTAACTTTTTTTTTTCAAAATGCCCAGCACCATTTAGACACATGTTGTTTTGATGTTATAGTGACGAAGATATTGAACACAAAATGCTGTGTGAACTGCAAAGCATGATTCTTTTCATTATAAACCAAATATTAGTGCTCAACTAAGAGATTACAAGTAAAAAAACATTGAAAAAGTGATTTTGCTCTTTTATAACAGTTTCTGGTGTGCAGGTAAAACAAAAGAGGTAACTATTGAGGTGCAGCTCTATTAGGAGGAAATTTTTCAATGCAGTTTCATGACAGCTATATTAATAACTCCATTATGCAAAGAATGTGGGCCAAGATAAGAGAAAAAGCACACAGTTAAAGGGAGCAAGCTCTGTGTAGAGTAAGACAAGCGGAAGGAATGGCACAAAGAGGAGGGAAGAGAGAGCAGAGGAAGCAACTGAGGACAGAAAAATTTGATAGCATACTGGAGATGGAACAGGAGAAGGAAAAGGAGTAAGCAATAAAATGATAAACAGGAGAACCAAAACAATTTCATAAAGACATGGGGCAAGAATGGTAACACCTGGTGAAAATAAGAAACTTTTTTTTTTTTGCAACAGGGTCTCACTTTGTTGCCCAGGTTGGAGTGCTGTGGCACGATGAACTGCAACCTCAACCTCCCGGGCTCAAGTGATCCACCTCAGCCTCCTGAGTAGTTGGGACTACAGGCATGCGCCAAAATGCCCCACTAATTTTTTAATTTTTTGTAGAGACAGGGTCTCACTCTGTTGCCCAGGCTTGTTTTGAAGTCCTGACCTCAAGTCATCCTTCAACCTTGACCTCCCAAAGTGCTGGGATTATAGGTGTGAGCCACCACACCCCACCTAAGAAACATTTATTGACACTGAAACACTGTAGTAGAAAGTCATCTTCCCTGCCTTCAAGGAGCATTCAGCCTAATGTGGGAAATGATGGGCACATGCACAGGTAACTAAATATAACTCAGAGAAGAACACAGTCTTACAAGGGTGGAAATGGAAATGCTTCACACAGAGGAGTGTTTGAAAATAAGCACTGAGGGTGAAATGATTTAGCATGATTTAAATCAGGAAAAGAGTACTCATAATACATTCAAAAATAGAGTAATAATCACAATAATATACTTTGTCCCAGGATTCCAATGAACATCCAGTCTAGAAACCTATATTACCTGGAAGTGATTTATTATAACTTGGTTTTACCTATACTCCCAAACCAGTAGGCTGATGGATCTCAACAATAGATGCATATTAAAATCACCTGAAGAACATTTAAAATTCAATGCCTGGCCAGGCACAGTGGCTCACACTTGTAATCCCAGCACTTTGGGAGGCCGAGGTGGGCAGATCACAAGTTCAGGAGATTGAGACCATCCTGGCTAACACGGTGAAACCCCGTCTCTACTAAAAATACAAAAAAATTAGCCGGTCATGGTGGTGGGCGCCTGTAGTCCCAGCTACTTGGGAGACTGAGGCAGGAGAATGACATGAACCCGGGAGGCGGAGCTTGCAGTGAGCCGAGATCGCACCACACTGCACTCCAGCCTGGGCGACAGAGCAAGACTCCGTCTCAAAAAAAAAAAAACTCAATGCCCTATTTGCATGCTAGACGAGTTAAAAAATTCTGAGGGTAGGACTTGGGTCTTTTAATATTTTAGAGCTGCCCAGGTAGAGCTAAGTTGACAACTATTTTACTATGCAGAGAAAGGGGAAATCGAAGAGAAAAATAAAATTAACATTTGAATAGAGGCAGTCCAGAGATATTCAGTAGAAGCCTTTTTATCCTATGTTATCTGATGGAATTTGGCCTATTGTTTGAAAATAATCAGTTAAACTGAGAAATCATATACGACAATAAATATGTACTTTAAACATTTTAAACACACAAATTCACACTCAATCATGTTTTGATGTTGAACATTTTAGTATGGATTCCTTGATTGTGCTTTATTGTAGTCTTGATTATATAAGTAAGCCTTTCAATGTGTTACCTAGAATTTCCAGTATAAGTTTCATTTTGTTTGGGGTTTTTTTAATGTAATAAGATAGATACTTGCTCAGCAGTCTGAAGAGAAATAATTTTAATACCCTGTTTTCATCCACATTTACAGTTGTTTTACTGACACATAATTTCAGGGTACCTTTTTTAAGGGAACTCTTATACACTGTTGGTGAGAATGCAAACTAGTTTAGCCACTATGGAAAGCCGTTTGTAGAGTTTTCAAAGAACTTAAAGTACAACTACCATTCAACCCAGCAATCCCACTACTGGATATATACCCAAGGAAAATAATTCATTCTGTCAGAAAGACATATGCACCTGAATGTTCACTGCAGCACTATTCACGATAGCAAGGACATGGAATCAACCTAACTGCCAATCAACAAGGAACTGGATAAAGAAAATGTAGTATATATATACACCATGGAATACTATGCAGCCATAAAAAAGAATGAGATCATGCCCTTTGCAAAACTTGGACACAGCTAGAGGCCATCATCCTAGACAACCTAACACGAGATCAGAAAAGCAAAAACCACATGTTCTTACTGATAAGTGGGAGCTAAACACTGAATACATATGGATGTTAAATTAAGAACAATAGTCACTGGGCATCACTAGATGGGGGAGAAAGGGAGCAGGGTGTGGGCTAAAGAACCACCTGTTGGGTACTATGTTTTCTGCCTGGGTGATGGAATCATTGGGACCTCAAGCCTCAGCATCATGCAGTTTATCCATATAACACACCTGCATATGTATGCTTTAATCTATAATAAAAGTTGAAATTTGCAGGATACAAAATCAGTGTACAAAAATCATAAGCATTCTTATACACCAACAAGAACCAAAGTGAGAGCCAAATCAGAATGGCAATCCCATTCACAATTGCCACAAAAAGAATAAAACATCTAAGAATACAGCTACCCAGGAAAGTGAAAGACCTCTACCAAGAGAATTACAAAACACTCCTCAAATAAATCAGAGAAGACACAAAAAAATGGAAAAACATCCCATGCTCACAGACAGGAAGAATCAATATCATTAAAATGGCTACACAGCCCAAAGCAGTTTACATATTCAGTGGTATTCCTATAAAACTACCAATGACATTCTTCACAGAACTAGAAAAAAAAAACCTACTTTAAAATTCATATGGAACCAAAAAAGAGCCTAAATAGACAAGGCAATCCTAAGGGGAAAAAAAAAAAAAAAAGGCTAGAGGCATCACAATACCCAACTTCAAACTATACTACAAGTCTACCAAAACCAAAACAGCATGGTACTGGTATAAAAACAGGACATAGACCAATGGAACAGAATACAGAGCCCAGAAATAAGGCTGCACATCTGCAACTATCTGATCTTCAACAAAGCTGACAAAAAAAACAAGCAATAAGGAAGACTCCCTATTCAATAAATGGTGCTAGGATAACTGGCTAGCCATATGCAGAAAATTGAAGCTGGACCCCTTCCTTACACCATGTACAAAAATCAACTCAGGATGAATTAAAGACTTAAATGCAAAACCCAAAACTATAAAAACTCTGGAAGACAACCTGGGCAATACCATTCTGGACATAGGAATGGGTGAAGATTTCATGAAAAAGACACCAACAAATTTTTGCAACAAAAGCAAAAATTGACAAGTGGGATCTAACTAAACTTAAGAGTTTCTGCACAGCCAAAGAAACTACAAACAGAGTAAACAGACAACCTACAAAATGAAAGAAAATATTTGCTGGCAAGGTTGCAGAGAAAAGGGAATGATTATACGCTGTTGGTGGGAGTGTAAATTAGTTCAGCCATTGTGGAAAGCAGTATGGTGATTCCTCAAAAAAACTAAAAGCAGAACTCCCATTCAGCCCAGCAATCCCATTACTGGGTACATACTCAGACAAATATAAATCTTTCTACCATAAAGACACATGCACGTGATTGTTCACTGCAGCACTATTCACAATAGCAAAGACATGGAATCAACATAAATGCCCATTAATGACAGACTGGATTAAAAAAATGTGGTACCTAAGCACCATGAAACACTATGCAGCCATAAAAACAATATCATGTCTGTTGTGGGAACATGGATGGAGCTGGAGGCTCTTATCCTTAGCAAACTAACGCAGGAACAGAAAACCAAATACCACATGTTTTCACTTATAAGTGGGAACTAAACGATAAGAACTTATGAACACAAAGAAGGAAACAGCAGACACTGTGGTCTATTTGATGAGGGAGGGTGGGAGTAGGAAGAGGAGCAGAAAAGATAACTATTGGGTACTGGGTTTAATACCTGGGTGATGAAATACTATGTACAACAAACCCCAGTGACATATGTTTACCTATGTAACAAATCTTCACATGTACCCCCAAACGTAAGAAAAAGTTTTTTAACATCCCATTATGCATAACAATAAATACACTGAGAAATATTATTAAAACTTTTACTTACTGAAAATTATTACTGTAAAAAGTAATTGACAAGAGAGTCCTTCAATAAATAATTTAAAAAAATAACAGTAGATATACACACATAAAACACAGTTATAAACTAAGAAAGTTAAAATAAAATTTCCAAAGGAGAAAAATACATTTACTGAAGAAAGAGTTGGAAACATATTTTACTGAATGAAACAAATCATCAGGAACTCCGCTAGATGTATTTCTTTAAGTTTTGTTATTCCTTCAAACGACTTCATGAGGTGAGAAATATTATCTGTCTATCTTTGTGTTTCATATTTTAACTGAAACCCAAAAAAGTTTGTGTTGCCTAAAGTGGGTGATGCAATGGGCTTCGCTTTCTAGTCCAGTCAAATCGCAATGGGCTTCGCTTTCTAGTCCAGTCAAATCTCCATATCTCTAGTTAATTAACCCTCAGAACCATGGGTTAGAATTTGGACTCATTCAACTTTATTTCATTCTAAACCTTAAAATACAATGATTTGCCAATGCTTTTCTAACTAAACATAAAGGTAGAGTTTAGATGTGTTATACTTAAACTTGAATATAATCAAGAAAATTTTGATTGCAATTGCTTTCAAATGCTTGCATTTTATGTTAAAGACTTACCGTGTTTAAAATAAATTTAACTTTAAAATGAGAAAAACAGTACTTTTTTAGTAATTTTAGTTTATCAACTTTTTCAAAATCATTCAACTTAATTTGTATAAAACAAATTTTATTTCATTTCATATTTGTATTTAGTTGATTTATATATTAGTATGTATTTATAGCAGTTAAGTAATATTACAATTATTATATAAATACAACTTACATGAACAGGGTTGAAAACATTAAGTGTACAGGCTTAGCCTCAAACTCAGTTGATTTCTTTTAATTTTTAACAGAGCCAATGTAAACTGTCAATGAATGTTTGTCAAATCACCTGGAGATCTTATTTAAATGTGTATGCTGAGCAGTAGATCTAGAGTGAGACATGAAATTCTGCATATGTAACCAGGCCTCAAGGGATACTAATGCTGCTGGTTCAATGATCACACTTAGAGTAGCAAGATTATAGATCAGTAATTATCAACTGGACTTGCACATAAAAATTGCACATAGGGAAATTGTTGAAAATATCTGTGTGGAATCCAAACAAACTAAATCAAAATCTCTAGGAGAGGGACCTAGGAAATCAGTATCTTTCAAGAGAATCCAGATGATTCTAATGTCTGAGCAGTGTTAAGGATTACTGGTGTAGACTCATCCAACTAGTCAATTTAGGGAGTTTTTACTATAAATCTCAATCCTAGATAATCCCACTCAGTAATGCACAGGTTGCTATAAGAATCAGACCAAAATTATTCCAGATGCTTCTTAAATTTTAAATAATTTGCTTATGAATATGACTGCAAAAAGAGTAATAAAAGTAACAGAAGTGGAAAAATGGAGAAGAAGAGGGAGATGGAGAGGCAGAATGAGAGAGAAAAGCAGAAAGAGAGAGGAAGAGAGAAAAAGAGAAAAATGAAATTCACATTTACTGTAAGACTAGAGATTGAGCCTTATTAAATATACCTGTACTTGTACCTTGGGACAAAATATTTGTTGAGGTATATCGTATTTTATTCTTTTCAGATAACTTTTCTCTTTAGGGGTCAATTAAGTAAAAGTTTTTGACAGCTATGCTAAATGAAACATCGAGGTTAAAATGTTAAACACATTATATTAACTCTGTAAATTAAGAATTAAATTATTGCCAAAATTAACCTTCTCACAATAACAAATAATCAAAAGAAAATTTGGTTACATTACCCCCAAATGCCTCTGGAATTAACTAAGAAGCAAAAGGGCTTCCCATAATCCTTCATGTCTTCAGTGATGCTATTATATATATGGATGAATTTCCCCTCAGCCACATTTATTGAGAAGAATACTGTGGAAATGTTCTTGTTCATACTCTCACTCACACACACACACACAAAATTATTACTTTAATGGCTATTATATGCCAGTCAGTGTGCTCAGCCTAATAAAAAAAATAAAAAATAAACCCACAGACACTGACCTAAAGAAACAGAGGCATGTGATTACCTGAAAATAAGTCAAAGTGACCATCACAATGCTGCTCAATGAGCTCAGGAAACTGATACATGAACAAAGTTGGAATATCAATAGACAGTAATTTTTTTAAATGACCAAACAGATATTTAGAATATCAATAGACAGTAATTTTTTAAAATGACCAAACAGATATTTAGAATGTAAGAATACAATAACTGAATTGAAAAATCCACTAGAGGAGTTCAACAGTAGATTTGATTAAGCAGAAGAATCAGCAAACTCAAAGACAGTGCATCTGAAATGCAGTCAGAGGAGCAAAAAGGAAAACAAATAAAAAAGAATAAAGAAAGCCTAAAGGACTTATGGGATAACATCAAGTGAACCAACTTATGCATTTGGGGGTCCAGAAAGAAGAAGATAGAAAAAGGCAGAATGCTTGTTTGAAGAAATAACAGCTGAAAACTTCCCAAATCTGGAAAGGAAATGTACATCTAAATTCAAGAAGCCAAAATAACTTCAGCAAGATTAAATGCAAACAAAGCTACACAAAGACACATTATAATCAAATTTTCAAAAGTCAAAGACAAAGAGCATTTCAAAAGAAGCAAAAGAAAAGTGACTAATCATGTACAAGGGAACTGCCATCAGACTATCAGCAGAATTATCAATGGAACCATTGCAGGCAGAATAGAGTACAATGACGTATTTAAAGTGTTGGAAGAAAAATCCACCAACCAAGAATACTATACATAGCCAAACTGTCCTTCAAAAATTAGGAAAAAATAAAGACTTTTCCAGATAACAAAAGCTGATGAAGTTTATCATCACTCAACCTGCCTTACAGAAAATGATAACAGAAGACCTTAAAGTTGAAATGAAAAAAATACCAGACAGCAACACGAAAGTATATAAAAGTACTTTTTAACTGGTAAAGGTAAATATACAGACAAATACAGAATACTATAATACTCCAACAGTGGTGTATATATCACCTTTAATTCTGGTATATAACTTAAAGATAAAAACATAAAGATAACAACTATAAAAATATGTTAATGGACATGCCACCTAAAAATGGTAATTTGTGACATCAATGATAAATAGTGTAGGGGGAGGGGAGTAAATAGGTATATGGAAATAAAGTTAAGTTGTTATCAACTTAAAATAGATTGCTATATTTTATGTCAGCCCCATGGTAACAACAACAAAAATTCCTATTGATGATACACAAAAGAAAATAAGAAAAGAATCAAAAGCGTGTCACACACACACAAAAATCAAGGAAACACAAAGGAAGACAACAAAGGAGAAAAAGCAGGATAAGAAGCTACAAGACAAACAGAAAACAATAAAATGACAATAGTAAGTCCTACTCGATCAATAATAACTTTAAAAGTAAATGGATTAAACTGTCAAAAGACAGAGAACAGCTGAATGAATTAAAAAAAAAAAAAACCAAGAGCCAATTATATGCTGTCTACAAAAGACTTACCTAAGATTTAATGACATAAATGGGCTGAATGTGAAATGTTTGAAACATATATTTCATGCAAATGATAACCAAAAGCAAGAAGCTTCCAGGATTTTTTTTTTTTTGAGATGGATTACAGGCATGCGCCTGTACTAGGATTACAGGCGTGAACCACCACACCAGGCCTTTTTGTTTGGTTGTTTATTTATTCTGTTTTGAGATGGAGTCTTGCTCTGTCTCCTGGGCTGGAGTGCAGTGGCGTGATCTCGCCTCACTGCAACCTCTGCCCCTTGGGTTCAATCTATTCTGCCTCAGCCTCCTGAGTAGCTAGGATTACAGGTGCCTGCCCCCACACTAATTTTTGTATTTTTAGTAGAGGCAGGGTTTCACCATGTTGGCCAGGCTATGACACAAAATGTACTTTAAATTCATAACTGTCAAATAAGAGATAAATAAGGAAATTATATAAAGACAAGAGGGTTTATATACCATGAATATATGACAATTATAAATATACCCAACATCAGAGCACCTATGCATACAAAGCAAACACTGATAGACTTGAAGGGAGAAACAGACAGTAACAAAAGAGTAGTGGAATATTTCAATTCCCTACTTTTAATCATGAATAGAAGATCCAAACAAAAAGTCAATAAGGAAACAGAAGACTTGAAAAACACTATAGACTAAATGAATCTAACAGACATATATAGAACATTCCATACAACAGGAGCAGAATGTAAATTCTTCTCAAGGACATACAGAACATTCTCCAGGATAGACCACGTTATACTATAAAACAAGTCTTAACAAATTTAAGAAGATGAAATCATACCAGTATCTTTTCCAAACACAATGAAATGAAACTAGGAGTCAGTAGCACTAGGAAAACTAGAAAATTCACAGATATATGGAAATTAAATAACACACTTGAATAGTTAATTGATCAACTAAAAAATCAAAAAAGAAATTTTAAAATACCTTGAGACAAAGAAAATAAAAACATCACATAATACAATTGATGAAACACAGCAAAAGCAGTAAAAAAGGGAAGTTTATAGGGGTAAATGCCCACATTTAAAAATAGAAAGATCTCAAAGAACCTAACTAAACACCTCAAGGAACTAGAAAAAGAACAAACTAATTTCAAAGTTAACAGAAGGAAGAAAATAATAAAGATTAGAGCAGAAAGAAAATGAAATAGAGGATAAAAACAATAGAAATAAAACCTACTAACATAAGGGTTGTTTTTTAAAAAGATCAACAACATTGACAAACCTTTGGGTAGACTAAGAAGGAAAGCAAAAAAGGGAAGACTCAAGTAAAATCAGAAATACACAGGAAATGTTACAACCAATACACAGAATAAAAAGATCATAAGAGACTACTCCTAATAATTATAACACCAGTAAATTGGATAATGTAGAAGAAATGGATAAATTTTAGAAACACTACAACCTACTATGACAGCAGAATCATTAGATAACTGGTAAGGAGATTGCTTCATCAATCAAAAATCTCTCAGCAAAGAAAAGCCCAGGACAAGATGACTTCAGCAGAGAATTCTACCAAACATTTAAAGAATTAATGGTAATCTTTTTCAAACTCCTCCCAAAACATTGAAGAAAATTGAACACTTCCAAACTTATTTATGAGGCCAATATTACCCTGATATGAAAGCCAGACAAAGCACTGCAGGAAAAGAGTACTACAAGCCAGTATCCCAGAGAAATACACATGCAAAAATCCTCAACAATACTAGCAAACTCAATTCAACAGCGCAGTAGAAGGATTATACACCATGATAAAGTGGTATTTATCCCTGGGGTGTGAGGATAGCTCAGCATATGAAAACCAACCAATATGATACACCATGTTAAAAGAACAAAGTATAACATCACATAATCATTTTAATATAAGAAGAAAAAGCATTTGACAGAATTCAACACCCTTTTATGATTAATAAAACACTCAACAAACAATAAATAGAAGAAATATACTTCAACATAATAAAAGTCATACATGAAAAGCCCATAGCTAACATTATACTCAACAGTGATAAACTAAGTTTCTCTTTTACAATTAACTACAAAGCAAGTTTGTTCACTTTTAGCACTTTTCTTCAACAAAGTACTAGAACTTCTAGCAAGAGAAATTGGGTAAGAAAAATAAATAAAAGGCATCCAAATTAGAAAGGAAAAAGTAAAATTATCTTTGTTGGCAGATGAAAAAACCCTGATTCCACAAAAGATCTGTTAAAGCTCTTGAACAAATATAGCAAATTTGTAGGACATGAAATCAACATACGAAAATTGGTTGTGCGCCTAAACTCTAACAAGGAAAAATAGGAAAAGGAAATAAAGTAAATAATCTCATTTACAATAGCATCAATAATAATAAAATACTTAGAAATAAACATAACCAATGAGGCAAAAGACTTGTACACTAAAAACTATGAAACTGCTGAAAGAAATTTAAAAAGACATTAAAAAATGAAAATACAGCTTGTGCTTACAGGTTGGAAGACATTGTTAAAATATTTGTACTATCCAAAACAATCTACAGATTTAATGCAATCCCTATCAAAATCCCAATGTTACATTTTAGAGAAACAGTCAAAACAATGCTAAAATTCATATGGAGCCATAAAGGACCCTAAATAGCTGAAAAAATCTTGAGAAATAACAAAGCTGGAGGCCTCACACTTCCTGACTTTCAAACACATTACAAAGCTACAGTACATAAAACCGTATGGTTTTTGGCATTAAACACAGATAATGAAACAGAATAGAGAGCCCAGAAATAAACTCACTTACATACAGGCAAATCTCCAACAAGAATACTAAGAATACACAATGGGGAAAAGATAGTCTCTTCAACAAGCTGTGTTGGGAAAACAATATCAAATGCAGAAGAATGAAATTAGACCTCTATCTTACACCATGCACAAAAATCAACTCAAAATGCATTAAAGACTTAAACATAAGTCCTGAAGCTAAGAAACTCCTACATGAACTAATAGAAAAAAATTTCATAATATTGGTCTTGGCAATAATTTTCTGGATATGATGCCAAAGCTCAGGCAACAAAAGCAAAAATAGAGAAACGGGACTACAACAAACTAACAAACTTCTGTACAGTAGAGGAAACACTCAACAGAATGAAAGGCAGCCTATGGAATGCGAGAAAATATGCAAATTGTATCAGATAAGGAGTCACTATTCAAGATACATAATGAATTTCCACAGCTCAATGGCAGAA